>NC_000006.12:211515-363030 GCF_000001405.40 Homo sapiens
ACTGAGTTGCACCAGTGAATGAACTCATGATGCCGGGATTAGAAGGGGAAGCCCTTGGAGCCTCCTTCTGCCCCAGTTCTCAGCGTCCCTGGTGTTCAGTAAGTATTAGCTGGTCAGTGGAGTGCTGTGAATCTTTCCTCCTCTGGTCTGTTGTTCAGGTGATGGGAGTTTTGCAGACTACAGTGGGGTGCGGGGGGGTTCAGGAATCGGGTGCAGGGGCAGTTATTGTTTCCAGCTGGGTGAACTCCCCGTGGAGAATAGTCAGGGAAACCCTCGCCAGACAGTCTAGCAGATCGAAAGGCTCTTAGCTCTTCAGGAACCCTGTTAGTGGGCAGGGGGCTGGGGGGCAGCACTCCAACAGGAGGGTCCTGTGCTGCCTCTCCTGCATGGCAGTGCCGCTGCTTTACCCCTAAACACTTCTGCACATACTTCCCAAACAAGGACATTCTCCTGCATAACTAACTCCAATACCATTTCACACCAGAGGGCTTTGTGTGCGGCTGTTTTTGGCACAGGAGTCCATCTTCGTGCCAAGCTACATGCCCCTCCCCATTCGGGCAGCTCTAGGCAGGCAGCACTCATTGTCTGTGTGGCTGGACAGAGAGCTGGGACTCCCTAAATCTCTGGGTTCCCAAGAGACAGACCTTCAATGCTCTGAGCACCAATGATGTGGCTGGTTTCCCAGTGAGCTACAGTTTTCTGCCTTCCAAAAAACAGTGATTTAAAGAATGGGTGAATAAGATAATGTAAAATGGTGCAGCCACTGTGGTGAAGAGTATGGCAGTTCCTCAAAAAAGGAAACAGAATGACTGTAGGGTCCAGCAGTTCCACTTCTGGGCATCACACAAAGAATGGGAAGCACAGTCTCAGAGAGATACTTGCACTCCTGTCTTCACGGCAGCTCTGTTCACAATAGCCGAGAGGCGGAAGCAGCCGAGCACCCACCAACAGACGAATGGATCAACATTACGTGGTCTGTGCACACAACGGCCATCATTCAGCCTTCAGGATGGGGACATCCTTACACGTCGATGAACCTGGAGGACATTTGCTCAGTGAAATAAACCAGTCACCAAAGAGCAAACACTGTATCATTTCTATATGAGGTTCCTAGAGGACTCAAATCCAGAGAGACAGAAAGAAAACTGAAGATTTCCAGGGGCTGGGTGGATTGGGGAGTGGGGAGTCGGTACTTCATGGGGACAGAGTTTCAGTGTGGGAAGAGGAAAACATTCCAGAGATGGATGGTGGCGATGGCTACACAATCAGGTGAATGTAATTAATGCCACCGAATTGATAAAAATGGTTAAAATGGTAAATTTTATGTCGTGTATTTTACCACAATTTTTTTTTTGAGACAGTTTCACTCTTGTTGCCCAGGCTGGAGTGCAATGGCGCGATCTTGGCTCACTGCAACCTCTGCCTCCCAGGTTCAAGTGATTCTCCTGCCTCAGCCTCCCAGGTAGGTAGCTGGGATTACAGGCGCCTGCTACCACGCTTGGCTAATTTTTTGTATTTTTAGTAGAGATGGGGTTTCACCATGTTGGCCAAGCTGATCTTGAACTCCTGACCTCGGGTGATCCACCCACCTTGGCCTCCCAAAGTGCTGAGATTACAGGCTTGAGCCATCGCATCCAGCCCCACAATTTTCTCAAAAGAACAATATGTGTGGAGAGGATTGCAAATTCATTTAATAATGACACTTAATGTTTTCATAGTATGTTTCCCCTAAAAATCTCAAGTGTTTCATCTCATGTCACCCACCAATCTCTGCTTGAACTAAGCTATCTACAAACATGAGAAGCAGCTTCCTATGGGGAAAAGAATATAAGAAAAAAATTGTGTCTCTGTCATGTCGTACCCACATTACTTAGCCTCTCTGAGCTTGTGTCTTCACAGAGAATATGGCATCTTATGCTCAGGCATCAGATGAGCAAAGCCCTCTCTCACTCCCGTCCTGCACACGCCTTGCACACACTTCCACACAGGCATCAGATGAGCAAAGCCCTCTCTCACTCCCGTCCTGCACACACCTTGCACACACTTCCTACTTGTCAGAGTCTTTTTAGTTTTCTCACACATTATTTCAGAGTAACTTAGCAATAATAGCACTTACAGGCCAATTATATTTGTTTCTTCTGGATTCACTTTATTCTGACCAAGTAGACTGTCATAAACAGATATAGACAGAAGACAGGGAAATACTGGGTAGAAGCGGGCGGTTCCCTGGCAAAGGCCCCAGCCTCAAACCTGGAAACCTGCAGCCTTACACGAGAATGAGCATTCTCGTTTTCATGCCCAAAAGTTGCCTTCTGGCCCACCATGGCCCCCATCCTGTACCCATATAAACCCCAACCCACAAGTTCCACTAGCAGTCAAGGAGATGAACTGAAGAGCAGAAGATCAGCAGAATGGCTCAGCAGAAAGAAGACAAGGGGCATCTGAATGTCGAGGGGTGTTCGACTGGGGATAGTAAGAGAGGAGATCAGCCGATGATGGCCAAATTCCAGGGTAAGATAATCTTCCCACTCCCTCCTCCTTCCAGCTCCCCATCCATCCCAGTGAAAGCCGCCTCTACCACCCAATAAAATCCCTGCATTCATCCTTCAAGTCCGTGTGTGACCTGATTCTTCCTGGACATGGGACAAGGACCTGGGTATTAAGGGGGCACTGAGCTGGTTAACACTTAAGCCGTCTGTGGATGGCAAAGCTAAAAGAGTGCACTGTAACACACGCCCACTTGGGCTTCAGGAGCCTCAGGCACACACTCCTGGATGCTTCCATGGGACTGGAGCCCAGGGGTGTTCACCCCAGCTCTTGCACCAGCCCATCTGCGTGCTCCCCCTCCCATAAGGCTTTTGAGCAGGTGCCGCATGAACAGACAAGCCACACCGCTTTTGCTTGTCCTGCAAGGGGTCTCAGGGAACTCTCCTGTTTCAACATCATCTAGCAAAATAAGTCAAATCAACAGGTTTCCTCCAGAGTCCTCATGGAAGTCCTCAGTGGCAGAGCAGCCCACGTGCAAGTGCCTCAGATGCACCGGCCTCTTGGCCATCCTCATTGTCCTCAGCTCACCTGTGCTGAGGGGGACTCTGGGGAGAGAGGTGGAGAGGGACTCAGTCTTGAGGAAGGTTGGCTAGGGGCCAAGAAGGGAGAAGGTGAATAGGAAGGTCCATGGAAGGACTGGGCAGTGGGACTCATGGAGTAGTGAGGGTTGACATCCTCTTTTCACACTGCAATCCTCGCATGATGCCCTCCAGCCTGAAGAGGTGCATTAATCATGCGGACTTAATTTGAGCTGTGCCGAAGGAACAAAGGGAAAGGTGAGGAACAAGGCCTACTGGGCACCATGGCAATATGGGGGAAGGCTGGCAGCCAGGGCCAGGACACGGGATAGGAACTGCCAGAAGACATGCGAAGACCCACTGCAGGCCTAGGGATGGGGTCTCAGGTGGACTGATTCACCTCTGTGGCCCCAACATCTCTTAAAGTGCTCAGGAGAGAGATCCAAACCATCTTCAATAATTTTAAGTCCTCAAGCCACCTCCAAACACATACACCAGTAGCAACGTGGCCTTGGGAAAAGGACCCCACTGGTCCAAGTGTCAGTTTGCTCACCTGCAAAACGGGAATGAAGATAGTATCTCCCTCCTGGGTGATGCTGTGAGGACTAAATGAGATTATGTTTCAAAGAGTTAAACGCAGCACGGACACTCAGGAAGGTCTCACTGAATAAAGGTCAGTTTTTATGAAGCCACGGGTGATGGTCAAGACTCATGGTATGCGCTGCCGGAGAAGATGAACAATTAGTCAAATTAGGAAAACAACTGATTGGCCAAACAAGGGGACACAGGTCAGCCCAGGCAGTTATTTAAATTATGTAGATCAGAAAGAAGCCTGGCTGTTCGCTTGACTTCTCAGTTTTTTAGTCTGCAGTGGCAGGTTTGGCAGACCACTGGTCTCGGGAGATTGTTGTAGCATCAGGAAGAGCATGCAGTGTCCCCTCTGCCAAGACCAATCTTGGCCAACAGTGGGAATAAGAAGTGATGACCAGTGCCTGGTTTACTGGCGGGCTGCCATGAAAGAAGGATCCTCCCAGCAATCATTGCAATTCCCCAAAGTGCAAACTTGGTCAAGTAGCCAGAAGGTGTGAAAGGCACCTTTGCTTGCCAGCCTGTGGCAGCCAGCTTAGATCTCACTATGAGCTTCTGCTGTGGCACAGGCTGGCAGGCTGCTCCTGTACTGACTCAAGGAACCATGACGACCTTCTGACTCACCGGCACCTCTTCCTGCTGCTTCTCTGTACAACGAGTCCCCCTCCCCAAGAGCTAACCCATGATAAAGATCACAACCAACAGTTGTTAAACGTGTACTAGGTGTCAGGCAACTACTAGGTGCCAAGGTGTTATTTCATCATCACGAGAGCCCTGTGAAGTGTGTGCACTTATTATACCCTCGCTCTGCAGGAGGAGCCCGGAGTGCCACTGGGTAAATGGCCCGAGACCACAGTTTCTAGGTAGCAGCTAACGTGCAAACCCAAACTTGTGGCTCCCAAGTCCCCATTCTTAACAGCTGGACAATGGAGAATGAACAGCTCTCAGCCCACATAATGTAGTGTTAGGATCAATATCGTAGTTAATAGATTAAATAAGGGCCCATCTGGTATGATTTGAAAGGCAGCTAATGTCTGTTTATTTAAAACAAACAAGCAACAACTACTAAAATACAGTCCATATTTTCTGAAACTCCTGTATAGCTCATTTCTTTTCTTTTTTTTTGAGACAGAGTCTCGCTCTTGTCGCCCAGGCTGGAGTGCAGTGGCGTGATCTTGGCTCACTGCAACCTCTGCCTCCGGGGTTGAAGCGATTCTCCTGCCTCAGCCTTGCAAGTAGCTGGGATTAGAGGTGCCCGCCACCATGCCCGACTAATTTTGTATTTTTAGTAGAGACGGGGTTTCACCATGTTGACCAGGCTGGTCTTGAACTCCTGACCTCAGGTGATCTGCCTGTCTCGGCCTCCCAAAGTGTTGGGATTATAGTCATAAGCCACCACGCCCAGCCAGCTCATTTCTTTAGATTAAGATCTGAAGACTCTATGCAAATGTTACCTGCTAGGGAAGGAAACTGTGCTTATTAAATATGTTCTACTGCTGGGGAACTGTGCTGGGCCTCCCTGGTCATTCTGAAGCACGTAAAAGTCTGAGAGCCACTGCCCTGGGGGCGTCTTCATGCTGCCGGCTTCAACTACCTTGTATGGATGCCCCAGAAGTCTCTGTTCTGTTTCCTGAGCTCTACATTTTAAAATACTTTCAGACATGCTATATGCTTAAATGTATATTTTATATAGATATATATTACATATATATTTATATATTTTTGGTACTTTTTTTCCCTGAGATAGACTCATTATCCGCGTAGTTTGACAATGTCTTCGCCTAGCTATTCCTCTGGCTCTTGGCAAAACCTGAAAATCAAACTTGTCTTGTCTTATCCTAACCAGGCCGTCTTCTGACTTCTCTGTTTTAGTCCGTGTCTGCACCATTTTCTCCAACACCCAAACTGGAAAACTCCCGTCATCTGGGGTTCTCCCTTCAGCTGTGCTCTCCATGTCCAGGTAGTTGTTGAATGATGTAGATCCTGTCTTTGGAAGGTCCCTTGGTTCCACCCTGTGGTTTCATCCTTGTTCGAGCTCTGCTACCAGCAACCATCCTTCCCATCCCTCCCACCACCACCAGGGGGCTCGGCCAATGGCCTGTGCTGATGGCGCCTGCCTGGGCGCCAGCCTCCCTCCACCTACATGCCCTTCACCGCTCTGGTCACGCCCTTCCCCTGAACAGGTAGGGCTCATCCACAGAATGCCTCTAACCTACCCCACGTCTTCTCCCAGCCACGTGGGCCAGATGCTGTTTCCCAGGCAAGCCTGAGTCTTCCTGTCCTCACCGCAGCCCATGAAGTTCTCTCCTTCCTTTCCACATAAACACCCTTCATTTGTCCTCTTCAGGACCTCCCAGAGGCTCACATTCACCAGAGCCTTGGCCAGTTACTCTTAAACAGCTCTGTGCCAGGTCTAAGAGCAGGCTTGGGGACGGGGCACCTGAGCCTGAACCTGAACCCTCCACTTAGGAGCTGGGTGGTTACAGAGACGTCAGCTCTGAAAGAGGGTTGGGCTGCACTGAGGGGAGGATCTGGAATGGTGGGAATCAGGCTGACATGGATCCAGATGAACATGTATTTGAAATTTGGCACTGCCCATGGCTAGCTGCATGGCCATGGTCAAAGTCACCAGGCTGTAATTTGATTTTCTCATCTGCAAAAAGTGGGAGCGATAATGGCTCTCTTGGAGGACGGTTGTGAGGGTTGGAATGAAATGTCGAGCGTGTGGTGCAGACGCCTCCACAGCGGCAGTGCTCCCCAGGCTCTGAAGCATGGAACCCACGGGCTGTGCTTACCTCGTCAGTCCCTCGGACCCCCTGAATGTGTTTGCAGACATTTGCCATGCTTTCTCTGGGTTCAAGATTGTGTTCTCCAAGACTAAGTTGTGAGTTCCCTGCCACAGGGACTGTTTCTAACTTATCTTTGTAGAGCCTAGTGCACTGCCCAGCACACACAAACAGCTCAGGAGATGTTGGATGTAGTTAAATTCAAGGAGAAAAGAGGCACCCCAGGCAGGTGTGAAGCGTGGGAGGGGTGCCTTTGGAGGCCCTGCTGGGGAGGCCCCGGGGACAGCCAGGGGGCAGACTGAGAACAGCCAGGCCTGAGGGACCAGACCAGCTGGTGATCGGGGGTTTTTAGAATTTGCCAACCTCTTGACTGGCCTGGTTGGGCTAGATGCTGAGAGGCTGTGAGCTTCCCTGTGGTGGGGGTCCTGAGGCAGCAGGGCCTGCAGCCAGCCCGCTGGAGTTCAAATTCAGGCCCCGCCCCTCGCTAGCTCCCTAGGCCTGGGCTTACTTACCCATGCAGCTAAGTGAGGGTGACGTGACTCGCTCCACTGAGCCTTGGAGATGACGCCGTCTCTGTTCATTGCCTGCCGTGAAGCTTCTCGTCTTGGAAGGTCATGACTGAGAGGTTTCAGGGGAAATGTTTGAAGGGCAGGATTAGCCTAATCTTGAATCCCTTAGGAACTCCACCATATTACATTACCTCTTTGGTTACAGGAAACCCCCCTCAGGGCCCCTGTCCTCCCAAGGGCTATTAATGCAGATACCAACTACTGGAAGTGATATGCTCCAGAGGAGGCT
This sequence comes from Homo sapiens, assembly GCF_000001405.40. Classification (NCBI taxonomy): domain Eukaryota; kingdom Metazoa; phylum Chordata; class Mammalia; order Primates; family Hominidae; genus Homo; species Homo sapiens. The sequence continues at coordinate 218,753 of NC_000006.12, forward strand.
GGTGACCACCTGCATTCAGGTCCCTGTGGACTGGAGGGACAGCAAGAGGTCACGGCTGGGCCGTGCTACTCAGAGTCCCGCACAAGCCAAGTCATCCCACAGCCACCGTGTTGTTGCCCAAGTGAACACCTGAAGGGAGCCTCAGCCGGGGCTTGTCCGACTCCAAAATCCATCCTCTGTCCCCGAGGCCAGGCTGACTCAAAGATGGAGGGGACCTCGTTGTCTCAGTTCTCAGGAAGCTCGAAGGCTAATCTGTTTTCGCAGAAGAAATGAACTCACCAATTGACATGATCAGAAGGAAGAATGACCCAAAATTCAAATCTAAAAAGCCCCAAATTCCTTACTAATAGACTGCCTCTCACCAGCTTCTATTAAGTGAGAAAACATCTTTTCCCCCCACTGTTTTTTCTCCCTTCTGAAAAGAGGAACAGAGCAAAGACCTGAAAAAAAATCTCTCCACATAGCTGTTGCCCAGCCACCTGTACTTTGGAGAAAGAGCAGAAATGGGTACGAAAGGCTCCTGCTGTCTAATTAAGGCTGGAATTCACATCACAGAAGCAGAGCTGGAGCCAAGGGAGCTGTGCAGGGACTTCTAGATCCCACCATGCACAGTAGGTGTGTGGGCTCCCAGGCAGGGGCACCGGATCTCCTGAGGGAAAGGGCCCCTCCAGCACCAGCTTGCATGCTGGAGGGAGGAGCTGCAAAGGGCCTGGAGAGGCCACGGCTTCTCCTTGGCAGGGTGGGCCCAAAATTTGGTACTGATCTGTTGGCTTCAGATATAGTTAATGTGTGACATCAACACTTAGCATTGAAGGGGCTTAATATCCCCACCGTAGCACCCAGTTATATCCCAGCAGGTTTAATCTGCAAGAAATGACCAGACTGGAAGAAACAGGGCAGCCCATCATAGAACACCAGCGCTGGAGGCACCTTGGAGAGGTAGTTGGTCCTACCCACCTCATTTTGCAGGTGGAGACTGAGCCCCAGAGACGTGAAGCAACATGCCTAGGGTCACACAGCAACAGCACACAGTAGGACCAGGCCAAATTCTCTTGCTCCATCACTTTGGGAACAGTGCAGCACAGCACCAGCAGGAAGTGAGGAGCTCCTGTGTGGACCCCGAGCAGCCCTGCAGATATGGTTATCTCCAGAGTCACGGCCCTCACAACCCTCTCCCCAGCTTCTGAGTCTGTCCCTTCTTAGCCTGGAGTAGTGAGATGGATGCACCGGCATCTTTGACAGCCACGGTTGTTCCGATTCATGTCCCCCCGCCTGCACCCCCGCTCGCTTCCCGCTTCCCGCTTCTGTCCTGCCCACACAGAATGGGGAACTGGAGCCGGGGCCAGGGGCTGAGCCGCTGTGTGAGCCCGAGTGATGAGTCAGCGTTCATTGAGCAAACGGAGAGAGGCAGAATGAATGAGTAAATGGTCTGTATTTTCTTTGCTACAATTTAATGTCCTAATATATAAAAGTGTGTGAGATTTTAAAAATATGAACACCAGAAAAAATTATCTCACATATCTGCACTTCTCTAATCATATATAATCTTTTCATGAATTTGGGTTGCATTTTATATCCTTAAATATTATATTGTACATTGATTCATATAGGTCCTGTATTTTTGTTACAGTTATTCCTAAGTATTTTCCCCAATTTTTTTAAATATTTCAAACTCACAAAAAAGATAAAAGAATAGTACAAAGAACCGCTGTTTGACCTTCACTGTAGATTGATGAATTATTAACATTGGCCGTATTTGCACTCTCTCTGCCCCTCTCTCTTTGTTTTAGAAACCACTTGAAAGTAAGTTGCACAGGCCATATTTAAAAATTTCTGGATGTTTCCTAACAACAAGGACATTCTCCTACAAAACCACAATATTATAATCACACCCAGGAACTTTAACGTAAGTTTTAAAATATAGTTTAAAACGGCTTTAATATATAGTTTAAAATAGTTTTAAATATAGTTTGATTCAGAGCAGAATGTGTTGAAGTTTAAAATACAGTTTGATTCAGAGCAGAATGTGTTGAGAGAAACTGAATGCACGTAGCTCAGTTCCAGTTGCTGAAGAAATTCAGCCTTCCCCTTCTCTAGCCTGCTTGACTTGAATCAGCAGTCTTGAGTTTGCATTATTGCAAGTCCTAGGCTCTGCCGTCCCCCAGCCCCTCACCTCGGTGCTCTGCAAATGCTGAATTTCTACGCTGTAGGCACCTAGACCCTTAAGAAACAAGCCCAAGCCAAGCTACCTGCTTTCTCGTCTCTGAGGCCAGCCTCTGGCCTCCCCAGGCAATGTCATGACATTAGACTAACTTTGGAGAAGTCTGGGAACTGAAGGGAAGCGAGACAATTCTTGTCACTCTGAAAAATATATATAGCTTATTATATTTCACGGAAGCCTTTTGTTTTGAACTCAAACGCAAAGCAGACAGTGGTGCAGGCATATTTTACACATGAGTGCTGTGCACGGATCTGCTCTATCTCCCCTCCCCGTGTGCCATTTCTAACTTCATGGGTGCGAGTCATGCTCCTTGTTTCCTGTAAGTGACCCCACGAGCTCCACTTAGCTCGTTGTGTGAAACTACAGCTGAGCAGTAAGGAGAGGAGGAGTGATACCACAAGAAGAGAAAAAGCAGCTTGCCCAGACGGCTGACCATGAAAATGGCCACGAACATGAAACAAGGACCGTTCATTAAGAAAAAGAGACTAGCAACTTTAAAAAAATTAAACAAAGTTGCCAAAGACATGAAGAAGTCATATGTCGCCACCTCTAGATTACTGCTATTCAAAGATTACTCCTGTCTGTGAACTTCCATAAAAAGACAGCCATGGTGAATTCAGAAACCACAATACCCTGCCTTTAAGAATTGGGGTGCTCAAATGGGATTAAGGTGCATTTGAGAGTGGACCCTGCAGTCAACAGAGAGCTTTGATGTTTGTGGTATCAAAGTCCTCAATTTCAGTTATTTAAATGCAAAGAGTGGCATCTGGGGAGAGAACACAGTTTCTGATAAGAAACCTATTGGTTTTTTTCCGAAACTGGTAAAATTGTAAAGGGTTTGTAATTCCCAGAGCCGAAAGAGGTATATTCTACGAAAGGAAGTGAAGTTTGTGGTTCTGTATTTATAAGATGACTAACAATAACAAGAAAAAATGAATGGACTGCACATGCACTTTGACAATGCGAAACTTCTATTCTGGCTTGTTAATAATTGTTTTTCTTTGTCTCAAAAGAAAAAAATGCAAGTGAGATAAAAGAAAAACTTCAGCCAAATTAAATGAAAGGGACTTTAATTGATCAATGAACGATTCATGAATCAGCCAGCCTTCTGAGCCAGAGTAGGCTCAGAGACTCCAGCGCAGCCACATGGAGGAAGATTTATGGATAGAAAAAGGAAAGTGACGTATAGAAAATGGAAGTGAGGTGCAGAAACAGCTGGATGGGGTACAGCTCGGCGTTTGTGGTATTTGAACATCGTTTGCGTTATTTGAACATGATTCAAACAGTTGGCTGCGTTTTATTGGCCCAAACTGAGTGATTGGCGCAAGAGCAGTATACAGTTCATTTACACCTCCGCTTGTTATAGTTCATGATATACCGAAAAACCTTCAGGCTAAACTTAAAATATGTAAGGAGGCAGCTTAGTCTAAACCTGATTTAACAACTGTAAAGATGGACGGTTGGAATCAGCACAAACTACTGCAAAGTATATTTTATAATGGCCAGAAAGAAAGCATTCCATTTTTCAGTAGAGAATCAAAGTTTTAAGAGCTTTTAAACCTAATGGATCTGTGGAGAGTAAAAATCTAGGTAGCTGCATTATCACAATGATTAAATGGACATTGGCTGCAGGAAGAGTGTGTTTGTGAGATTCTCTTTGCGCGTGTGAACAATCAATATCTTTTTCCTTTTGCTGACAGTGGAAAATATCATAATGATACATCCAATTACATACTTTTCTATCTCTTACTCTTTAATGTATTTGCCTGAAATCACATGTTTGGCTTTCCACATCCGCATGTGGGTCTGGGAGTAGAAATTCTGAGACGGCTTCACATAAGGAGGCTTCTTCCCTCCCACCCTCTCACGGACAAATCAATCAAATATCTGCAGCTTGACAACTTTAGCTCTAAAAGGGGGCACTTTTTTATCTTGTACCTTTTCTTATAAATTTTGGGATATAATTTATTTTTGGTAAAAAAAAAACTTCAGAAAGTGGTTTAGTTGAAAGCACCTTAGGCTTTCTTATTAAGAATTAAGCTGCCCATGCTATTCATACTTGTAGTTTAATTCCTCACTTATTGTTGTAATTGCAATTGGATTTTGCAACAACAGCAACAAAAGCCTCCCTGGCAAGTTCCTGGTGATTCTGGGGAAGAGGGCTTGAGCCTGAGCTGCTCTAACCTCTCCTTCAGTCCTCAGCTCCCTGCGGTCTCTCTATAGAGATATGAGACACCCCATTCCCAGTACAAGCCACTTTTCCAGCTTCACACACACGCCCTCTTGGATATGCTCCCTGTGACGGGCAACCGTTCTACTGGAAGTAATTCTGAAAAAAGCCTCTGAACCCATGAGGCCCACGTGGGGCTTACCTGGCATTCAACTGTGTTCTCCTACATGTCACCATGTCCTGTCTCCACGACTCATGTTTGATCCTCGCGGGGGCATCAGAGCTTCCTCAGCACCTAGCAAGGCCATCTGTATATGCAGTGGTGATCCCCATTTCAATGTAAATTACGACCACTCTCCACCACTGCTACCCAGGATGTTTCCCAGACTCCTTAGGTGTGTGAGGTGCAGAATCAACCAACTGGAAAGAAACACTCTTAGCCACTTTAATACTCCTCCTCCCTCTTTCTAAATTTCCTAAACCAGTTGAAAATGGGCACCTTTTCTGAGAAGCACAAGCTGTCTCTTGCCCCTTTTACAAATGTCAGTCATGTGTTGCTTAAGGACAAGGATACCTTCTGAGAAATGGGTCCTCAGGCAATTTGCTGTTGTGTGAGCATCGCAGAGTGAACTTCCACACACCCGCGTGCTATGAGCTGCTTTACACCTGGCGATATGAGACAGCCTGTCGTGCCAGGCTGAGACCTGCATGTCACTGCGCTGAGTGCTGTCGGCAATTATGACACAGTGGCGTGTGTGTATCTAAACAGAGAAAAGGTGCCGTGAAAGAACAATACGAAAGATGAACAACAGTACCTGTGCAAGGCACTTACCATGAGTGGAGCTTGCAGGACTGGCAGCTGCTCTTGTGAGTCAGTGGGTGAGTCGGGAGTGAATGTGAAGACCTAGGACATCACTATGACTACTGCAGACTTTATAAACACTGCACACGTAGGCCACACTCTCTCTCTCTACATATAAAGTATATATATGTGTGTGTGTATATATATATAATTGTGCTAAGACGTTGAGGTGGCTACAATGTCATCACATGATAGGAATTTTTCAGCTCCCTTATACTCTTACAGGACAACCATAGTATACGCTGTCTGTGGTTGGAAATGTTGTTGTGTGGCACATGACCGTATGGAAGAACAGAGAAGACCATTCAGAGCTTCATCGGAGGCAGTGGTGACCGCAGGACCCCTGCATCTGCTTCAGCCCAACCAGACATCCCTGACCCTGCCCAGCAGACCCTGACCTCCGCCACAGATAACCTGGGAGCCTGTGGGCACGGTCAGCAGGGGGCGTGGAGTCTGAGGCACATGACTCTCATGCGCCAGCCCAGTGGTGCCCGCACCTCATTCTTAGAATTTCCTGGAAGTGGCTTTGCTCTGAATGCCTGCGCTGGCATCACAGAAACAAAAGTTTCTTCCCTGGAAGGGATGGGAGCAGCAGGGGCTGGTGGAGGAGCTGCCACTGTTTTGGTCACAGAACCACGCGTTCTCCAGGTGAAAGGTAAAGCTTCAACTCTGCACAGTAATCCAGGGAAGCATCTTCTTCAACGGGACGCGAGCCGCTTTCTCCTGTCGCTGTGGGTTTCATTTGTGGCGACGTCTCTGCAACATCCATTTTTCCCTGAGTTTCTTTCTGGCCGTAGCATGCACCTTCGGGGGCTACGAAGTTCTGATGCTCAGGTACTACAGGAGATCCATTGAACTGAATCTCTGGAAGTGGGGCCCAGGCCTCTCCTTTTCAGAAGCTCAGTGTGTGCTTCTGATGTACAGCCAGAGTTTAGAGCCATCAGGCTCACCCAGTCACGGTGATACCAACTCTCCAACCAGTGACTGTTCTTGGAACATGCAGATCACTCTATTCTAGACGTGAGGCATGAGGAGAAGCCTGCAGGAAGCTTCTGGAAAGGAGTTCATCACTCCTAAGGGGAAGATAGTACCTCTCTGTCTTGTCCAGATGTGACACCTGGCAGAGCTGCCTGGAAGACACCAGTGCCCCAGGCGCCAGGTGTGTAGAGTCACAACCCTGCGTGCCGTGTCTGGAGTCTGCCCTGGCTCTGGGCTTCCTGTGGTAGGTGATGACACAATGCCTCACTCCCTAACCCTGCTTGAGGCTTGGGTGTGAGTTATTTGTAGAGAAAAACATTCTTACTCATTCCTGGGCCTGTTCCTTCTGTACCTATAGGGAAAGAGCGGAGGAACCAGGTTCCCGGTCCAGGCCCCACTTCCTGTTACGCCCTTTAGCTGATTTCCTCTGTTCCTCGCCAGATTCTAGAAGGTTTGCGAACTCTGCTCATGCAAAGTCTGGCTGCGGGGGCAGTGGAGTTGCTGGAAATCAGACTCGAATGCCACACTGCTTCAGGAAACCGAGGTGCTTTCCTCCGTGTACAGCCAGTGTGCTCCTTAGGTCTCTGCATCAGCCTGTGAGGGGGATGAGATCACCGTCCTGTTTCAGAAGAGGAAGGCGAGGCCCGGAGAGGGCGCAGGGTGCCCTGTGGCTGTGGCCACCCGGGAAGGGGCTGTGACGCCCTCGTGGTGCAGGGATGAGGGACGCTGCCTGCCTTTGCTGTCGAGCAGAGGTCTCACCCCTGCTTTGTGAGTTTCTGAGTTTCTGAGTGACCTCAGCAAAGCAGCTCAGCCTTTGAGCTCAGCTTTCTCATAGGAAAACGGGGTTGAAAAATCTTCCCCACATTTATTATGCAAAAGCAACCGACGGAGGAGCGCCTGCTGATGCTCAGCAAAATGCCGTCTGTGTGCTGCTCATCATTCCACGCCTTCACCCTGAACGCCCAGCTTCTTATCAGAGTCTAGGGGCAGCAGAGAGTGATTGAATACGCACGTGTGTCCACACTGCAGCCACGGCAAGGCCGAGAGAGGGGCTCCCCACCATGCTGGCGGCCTGGGGCCTGGACAGAGCCAACTGGGGAAAGTGCCTCGCAACAGACCAACCTGGTGAGGGAGGCGGGGGGAGCACATGGCGCAACCCACCCTCCTACCATCCACATTGCAAAGCCCCAGCGATTCCTGGGCGTCACTTTTCCACCCCCACCCACCCTGTGTCTCTGTGGCTTCGGGCGCGAGCTTGTGGGGCAGAGCCAACAGACAGAGCTGGGGACACCTGGGGCCGCTTCACAGCGAGATGCCAGACTCAGGCCTTTACCAAGCTGCGCGTCACTGGTAGAAAAGGACATTAGGAACACTAGGTAAAAAGCAAAACAAAAATAAATCTCACTTGGCATCTTTCCCATTATAGTTCAGTCGATGGTAGCTATGATTCTATTTGCCTGTGTTACTATTTACTCTGAAAGAGTGGATTTAGGCCAGAACATTTGCAGTCTGGCTGTGTAAGGCACCACAACAGTATCAATGAGCCGCCGCACTCAGGATGATTTAGCTCTCCCCATTTTCTCAGATCTCATCACCCCCAATCCTCAGCTCCCTTGTGACCAAAGGTTAGCATTCTTCACAGAGTAGTTAGTCTGTGGACTGGGGGTGAAGCGAAGCCCCTCCATTTCCTGGGTCTGGAGACCCAGGGCCTCCGAAGCTCTGGCCTGGGCCATGCAGACTTTTCATGGAAGGTGAGGGCAGGGACTTCTGACACTGAGGCCCTGAGTTGGGGCCAAAAGTTTTAGGTGAAGGGCACCATCCCCAGCAAGAATGCTCTCACTTCAGATGCCAGCTGCAAACTCCAGGGTCCCCAGGCCACCTGCACTTCTGACCAAGTCAGGGGTTCCCCTGACCCCTTCAGAGTCAATAATTCACCAGAATGACTCTCAGAACTCCGGAAAGTGCTACATGTATGATGACAGTGTTATTACAAAGGACACAGCTCAGGACCAGCCAAAGGAAGAGACAGCAGGACACAGTCCAGGAGGGCCTGGAAGGCAGAGCTTCCATGTGCTCAAGACCGGTCACCCTCCCACTACATCCATGCGTTCACCACCTGGAAGCTCCACCAAGCTTTGGGGCCAGAGCTTCCACTTGGGTTTCATGACATACTCGTGATTGATTGAATCACTGGCCTGATGGTTGAACTTCATCTCCAGCCACCTCCCTTCCCTAGAGGTCAGGCTCAGAGCCCTGATCCTCTGGTGACACGTGGGTCTTTCCTGTAAGACCGTCACCCGTCCTGAAACCACGCAGGCCCCCACCGTGAGTGACCTGTTAGCATAAATTATCAGGGCCCACCATGAATAGCAGAGACACTCCCATCACTTGGGAAATTGTAAGGCTTTAGAGAGCCTCTCCCAGAAGATGGAGACAAAGGCCAGCATGAGTCCTCATCACACAGGAGGAGTGTGGGTGTCGTGAGTGTGAGCGGTCTTGCTCACACAGGCACATGCCTCTGTTCTCTAGAGACAAAAACCACAGCTCCTTAGCATTTCATGCGAAGCCTGCCATCCACTGGCCTCATCCCTCGTTGCCTAACGTGGGGCTTTTTCTGCAAGGCCGGTGCTCGCTGTCCTCCTCAGGGAAATTCTCACCAGCTCCCTGGAGCATGGCTGTCATTCGATCTTTGGTGTAAACAGCATTCGACAGGCTTCTGTAATCATAATTATCATGACATAATTGTAACTTTTCTTCTCAATACAGTCCTTTTCTCCATTCGATTAAAGTGATATTTTGCTTACAAGTAACAAAAACCTGGCTTAAAGCACAAGGACATTTCTAGTTTACTTAAGTCCAGAGATAGCTGGTCCCAAGGTATTTCGGCCACTCAGGCCACTGAGAACCAGGTTATTTCTGTTCTGTCATCCCTAGAGAGTTGGGCTGTCTACCGAGCAGTCACTGTTTAACATGGACATAGGCGGCAGCTGCCTGGGAAAGCACCATGTGTTTTCACAACGGGGTTCCAGGTTCGCAAGAGAAGGACTTTCTGCTCTTGCACCTCTCTCCCTTATGGGGGGGAAATATTTCTGGGCAGCCCCAGCAGACATCCTACTGGATGACAGGGTCTCTCCTGGCATTCTCCCCTGGCAAGGGGAGTGTGTGGGTGCCTCTGTTTGGGCCATTCCTCAGAGCGACTGTATTGTTCCCTGAACATAATCAGGCTGCCCCGCAGGATGGTGGTGGGAATGGCTGGTGAGCCTTTGACACTGCGAGGTTGTAGAATGTGTTCTAAAACAACAGAGAGGCATCAGAGCACGAGGAGGGAGGGAGGGAAGGAAGAAACAGGCAATGGTGGGAATGAGGAGCAAAGGAAACAAGAAAGAAAGATTTAAATCAGGCAGGAACACCAGGTCCTAGCGTGTAGGTACTTTTTAAGATGGAATGTACTTTACAACTAAACCCTATGTCAGATTCATGTTCATTTATCATGACTTCATTATATGCTGTAGTAGCTTAGTAGTTTTCAAAACTTTTTGTTTTTTTGAGACAGGGTCTTGCTCTGGAGTGCAGTGGCACAATCTTGGCTCACTGCAACCTCCGCCTCCTGGGTTCAAGCAATTCTCCTGTCTCAGCCTCCTGAGTAGCTGGGACTACAGGCGCCCACCACCACGCCTGGCTAATTTTTGCATTTTGAGTAGAGATGGGGTTTCACTACATTGGTCAGGCTGGTCTCCAACTCCTGACCTCAGGTGATCCACTCTCCTCGGCCTCCCAAAGTGCTGGGATTACAAGCGTGAGCCACCGCGACTGGCAGTTTTCAATCTTTTTGAAGCAAGCAAATTTTATATTAAAAAAAAAAAAACATTGGTTTTTTGGTGTGTGTGTGTGTGTGTTTTTTTTTTATCATTTGATAGGTCAATATAAAACAAAGGCAATCCATTTTCCACCCAGAAGTGACTTATACCACATGCTTTGTCTAAGCCTTCATTTGCTCTTGGGAAAAATGTTCCTCATCTTTCTAGAATGAAGAGAAGTACTTTCTTTGGAGATTGACAGGGGCCAGAACAAAGTTAAATAATGTACTCCTGGAAATGCAATTTTGTCAAAGGAGTAACTTCTCTCAGTCCTCAACGCGTGCAGTCATTACACAAGTGCTCGGCAGAGTCAGGGAGTCTCAGCATCGTTCTAGAAAGCCCAGATTGACCGCCTTCCTTCCACTATGCCTGGGCTGGCGGGAGGGCAGGACTAAGTGGCGGGATTGCACCCCTCCCCGCAATGTCTAAAAGTGGAGCCGGGCTCAGCCAGGCAGTGGGTGGGGGTGTGTGGGTCTCAGCCAGTTTCAATGGTTTTGACAATGAAACTCACCTGGGTGTGTGTTATTTGGCTTTGTTCTTCAGATTTAGACCCTCTCCTAAGTCAAATTGAAACTCCCCGAACTGGTATCCTATAAGAGCTGACCCTTATAGTAATGTGTGCTTCGAATCATGTGAACTGAAACCTGTGGACTTCCCACAGCCCAGCAGGACCCACCTTCCCAAGCAGCAAACCCTGGAGCCTCGAGCTGACACGTCAGTCCTTGTGCTTCGTGCACATTTAGAAGGAACTTCAGACAAACTTCATTCACTTCAAACTCTGTCCCCTTGGAGCCTCGAGCTGACATGTCAGTCCTTGTGCTTCGTGTAGATTTAGAAGGAACTTCAGACAAACTTCATTCACTTCAAACTCTGTCCCCTTGGAGCCTCAAGCTGACACGTCAGTCTTTGTGCTTCGTGCAGATTTAGAAGGAAATCCAGACAAACTTCATTCACTTCAAACCCTGTCCCCTTAACCTATTTCCAGTATCCAGAGGTAAAGCAAATCCTTCAATGTGATGCCCAAATAAAACTATAAATATACATATGTAATATATACAAATACAGAAAAATATATACATACATATGTGCACACATGTCTATATGTTTGCATGTATGTATATGATATTGAATCACGCTTTTTCATTTAATAACATGACTTGCAGAACCTTCCACCTGCATATTTAGTTCATATCACTTTATTCTATTTAATAGCTGCAAAACCTCGATCCAGTCTCTTCTATTTGTTGATACGAGGGCTCAGCCCCCCACCCACCCCTCATTTTTTTGGCCTTGTTAATGATGCAATTAATGTTGATAGATAGATAGATAGATAGATAGACAGACAGACAGACAGACAGACAGATAGATAGATAGAGATATGTAGAAAGATATCTATGTATCTCTATGTATCTATTTTTATATGTACTTAAAAACAAATATCTGTAGAGTGAGTTGCCTGAAAAAGGATAAGTGTATTTTCACAGGAATTACCTATTGCCCGCCAAAATTGTTGTCCAACTCAGCCTCTCACCAGTGGTGCAGGAGACTGGTAAACCTCACCAATGCTGGGTTTTATTAAGCTTCATTTATTGCCAATGCTATGTAAATAGCCAGTTATACAGCACTAGTATTTTGCTTTCCATTTCCTTAATCAGGAGTGTAACTGAGAAATCTGTCTCATGTTTGATGGTCAAGAACTGGCTTTTGAGAGTCTCTATTTTTCAATAGAATATTTCCCCTTTTCTTTACTGATATGACAAAGCTCTCTTTACAATAAGCAAAGACACCTATGGTTGGTCACCTGCCTTGCAAAACTTTCCTAAGTATATTGTTTCTCTTTTGGTTTTCTGTATTTTATATGTAAAAGGTTAGGCTTTTTGTGAAATTTGGTAATAAATGTTATTACTTCTGGCATTCCTGGCCTCTTTCATCATGACTATTTTTTCAATCACTCATCTTTTTTTAGCCCTCATGATTCCAGCTCCTTTTAACATATGACACCGCTTTTGAAAGATGGTGGTTGCTAATCCTGAAGCCGTTGACTCCCCAGATGACGTTCCCGTGAAACGCTTGGCAGTTGCAAGAGGAACTCGGGTCCTCAGTGCCGTTTACCAAGGCCGACAAAGTCCAGCGGCATTATCGTGTCATCGTGACATCGGTATTTGACTGTGGAAGCTGAAAGCCCGTTAGATAATTACATAAACATTCATGGCAAGAAATACTGTTTCCTTATTTCTTATTTTTATTTTTTTTTTGAGACGGAGTCTCGCTCTGTCGCCCAGGCTGGAGTGCGGTGGCGCGATCTCGGCTCACTGCAAGCTCCGCCTCCCGGGTTCACAGCATTCTCCTGCCTCAGCCTCCAAAGTAGCTGGGCCTACAGGCGCCCGCCACCATGCCCGGCTAATTTTTTTGTATTTTTTAGTGGAGATGGGGTTTCACCGTGTTAGCCAGGATGGTCTTGATCTCCTGACCTCGTGATCCGCCCGCCTCAGCCTCCCAAAGTGTTGGGACTACAGGCGTGAGCCACCGCGCCTGGCTGTTTCCTTATTTTTTATTATGAAAGATTCCTGGGCTGTTGCAGTCCTATTTATACCTATAATTTCTCTTATTCAACTGCAGTGTCCTTGCCTTCTTGTTTAATTGGGGTAATACTCCTTTCACTGAAATACTTTGGAGGAGTGTTGTAAAGTCTGCTGAGAAAATTTCTGTGAAAAGTTTTAAAGATATTGGGGGCAGTGTCTGCCAAACAGATTCTTCTCTGATGCCCTGGGCCCAGCCTTCTGTTTCTGTTTTCATTGATAATTTGTCGTTTCTTTTGAGAATGTTTCAAGTCAAGATAAAGATCACTGTGATGGGAACATTTATCTCCTCAATCACACCAGATACTACATTACTTTTTATTTACTTTTCTATAATTTCCATTCTTATGTAATGAACACTTAATAATTTTACATGTTCAAAAACGATGGATGTGGGAAAAGATCAAATAACGATAGTGTGAAAATTCAACTTTTGTTGAGCAACCAGGAAAGATCCCTGGGTTTACTGATTTTGAAACCAGTGTGGGAGGGTGAGAACATGAGAGATACCCTATGCAGAATCATGAACTGATCAGGGACCCTACAGAGATCATTTGGTCTGACACCTTTTCTCTATTCACATGAAACAAAGGCCTGGATCCTTGATCAGGGTCACTCAGTAAAGTAGTGAACAAGCTCCCGTGAAAGCCCAGGCCCTCCCATTTTCAGTAGGGTGTTCCCTATTCTACCACGTTCCTCCTCTTGTATAAACTAACACTCTGCTTTAAGTATGTTTAGAAACCTGTAGTCTATAGCAGCGGTCCTCAACCTTTTTGGCACCAGGGACCAGTTTCATGGAAGACAATTTTTCCACGGACTGGGGCAGGGGAGGGGGATGGTTTCCGGGTGATTCAAGTGCATTCCATTTATCGTGCACTTTATTTCTATTGTTATTATCATATTGTAATATATAATGAAATAATTATACAACTCACCATAATGTAGAATCAGTGGGAGCCCCGAGCTTGTTTTCCTGCAACTAGATGGTCCCATCTGGGGGTGATGGGAGACAGTGACAGATCATCAGGCATTAGATTCTCATAAGGAGCGTGCAACTTAGATCCCTTGCATGCACAGTTCACAGTAGGGTTTGTGCTCCTATGAGACTCTGATGCTGATGCTGATCTGACAGGAACTAAGGCAGTAAAATGTGAGTGATGGGGAGTGGCTGTAAATACATATGAAGCTTCACCCACTCACCCACCGCTCACCTCCTGCTGTGCAGCCTGGTTCCTAACAGGCCATAGACCGCTAGCTACCATCCATGCCCTGGGGGTTGGGGATGCCTGGTCTACAGTGAAGTAAATATCCTAGTTCCCTTGAGAAGGAGTCTCCATTAATGTGGAGTCATAGAGCTTTTTGGAGGAGCTGTGGACCTGCCCCCTCAGTTCCAGCTACACAGCTGCTCAGGGCCTGTTTGGCACTTGCCATACTCCTGTCCCAGGACAGGATCCCACAGTGGTAACAAAGGCTGCCGATCACTGAGCAACTACGACGTGTGCTGGGCAGGAGCTCTGTTGCTTCTAATTCTCACAACAATGCTGCAAAGGAGGGATTGTTCACTCCATTCTGTGATGAGGATATTGTATGGGTTGTGCCGTGTCCTCTAAAAAGGGAAGTCCTTACCCCAATACCTCAGAATGTGACCTTATCTGGAAATAGGGTCATTGCTGATGTAGTTAGTGAAGCTAAGATGAGGTCATGCTGGAGGAGAGTGGGCCTCACTCCGTAGGGCTGGTGTCCTTCTAAGGAGAGGACACAGACCCACAGAGGGAAGTCCATGTGATGACACAGGCAGAGATGCAGTGACGCGTCTGCAAGGTGGGAGCACCGAGGGTTGCCAGCCACCACCACAAGCGCAGTGAGAGGACGACTCTGCCAGCACCGTGGTCTGGGGCTGCCGGCCTCCAGGACTGGGAAATAATACACATCTGTTGCTTTAAGCACCCAGTGTGTGGCAGTTTGTTGAGGACGACCATGGGAAACAGATTCAGATGCTGAAGCTCGTAAAGTAGAAGACATGCCCAGAGCCACTCAGCCAACAGGCAGGTTCAGCCAGGGCTCAAATGGAGGTCTTCCTGGTTCCAAAAGAATTGCGTTTCTTCTCTACTCCACATGGCCCATCTCATCCCAGATGACCAGGGGAGACACTTGATGGCAAGGCCAACCACTGCTACCCCAGGGAAGAAAACAGAGAGAGGCAGAGGGAGGAGAGAGCCTAGGAGAGCGCCCTTCCTTTGCTGAGCTTGGCAGCTGTGCAGGCAGCCTGGCCCAAAGCAATAATTATCACAAAGCATAACCACAGCTCCAATGTATAGCCAAGAAATCTCTATCTTAGGAATACAAAGTGAGTGAGACAAGGCTTAAAAATAATATTAGTAATAATAATAATATCAAATAATATCAGAATAACCCTTCCAAGTGTGCTTTGCAAACAGCTTCTTTTTTTTTTTTTTTTTTTTTTTGAGACAGAGTCTTGCTCTGTCGCCCAGGCTGGAGTGCAGTATTGTAATCTCGGCTTACTGCAACCTCTCCCTCCCGGGTTCAAGCAATTCTGCTGCCTCAGCCTCCTGAGTAGCTGGGATTACAGGTGCATGCCACCATGCCTGGCTAATTTTTGTATTTTTAGTAGACAAGGGGTTTCACTATATTGGCCATGCTGGTCTTGAACACCTAACCTCGTGATCTGCCCACATCAGCCTCCAAAGTGCTGGGATGACAGGCGTGAGCCACCACACCAGGCCGAAAACATTGTCTTGTTTTAAGAGTTGTCACTTTGGCCAGGTGAGGTGGCTCATGCCTGTAATCCCAGCACCTTGGGAGGCCGAGGTGGGCAGATCATGAGGTCAGGAATTCGAGACCAGCCTAGCCAACATGGTGAAACCCCATCTCTACTAAAAAAATACAAAAATTAGCTGGGTGCGGTGGCGTGTGCCTGTAATCCCAGCTACTTGGGAGGCTGAGGCAGGAGAATTGCTTGAACCCAGGAGGCAGAGGTTGCAGTGCGTGGAGATCACGCCACTGCACTCCAGCCTGAGTGACAGAGCAAAATTCCGTCTCGGAATTGTCACTTTTTGAGACAGTCACGGCGAATGTCACTGAGCCTGAGCAAATGCTGCTCCTTGCCAGGCTTTCTCATATGCAGGGTCTGAGGCTCAGAGGGTAAGAAACTTTCCAAAGACGCACAGCAGAGGACTGGGGATCTGGATGCTGACCTATAGGATTGAGTCCATGCCTTGTGCTGCCCTAACAGAAAGTCCTGGGAAGGGCTGAGCTCAGGATACAAGCTTTACTAGGTGCAATAAATAGGTCACTGCTGGGCTGGTTCTCCTGAGGTCTCACTATCAGCTTTGGAGAAGATGCCTTTGTTCTTTCTGACTTTTGGCCCAGGAATCTTTATTAACTACTGTGATCAGGAGAAAGAGCCTGTGACAAATTGGAGGGTTGCCTATGGGGCCTCTAGGTTGCAGGGACAGAGAGATGTGTAGAGACTGAGGGAAGCAAAGGTGCATGGGGGTGAAGGTGGTACCTCTCCCTCTGCTGGTAAACAAGAACAGCCCCTCCACAACAGCCTCCCTTCCAGATGCCTGGGGTTTGCTGCTTGGAACCAAGCACCGTAGTCATCTCCTCTCCCCTGCCCTTCCTGTTCCTCTGAAGCTGAAGTCACTTCCCTGGATGATGCCTGGATAGAAGCAGGTGAGAGGGGAAAGTGCCTTGGGTGGAGGGAAACTTGTGAGATGAAAGAGGCCTCCTGAGGGGCTGTCAATCATCTAGGGCAATCTTTTTCTTTTTCTCTCTCTCTCTTTTTATTTTAATTAAGATGGAGTCTCGCTCTGTCACCTAGGCTGGAGTGCAGTGGTGAGATCTCAGCTCACTGCAACCTCTGCCACCCGGGTTCAAGTAATTCTCCTGCCTTAGCCTCCCAAGTAGCTGGAATTACAGGCACATACCACCACACCCAGCTAATTTTTGTATTTTTAGTGGAGATGGGGTTTCACCATGTTGGCCAGGCTGGTCTCAAACTCCCAACCTCAGGTGATCCGCCC
This sequence comes from Homo sapiens, assembly GCF_000001405.40. Lineage (NCBI taxonomy): Eukaryota > Metazoa > Chordata > Mammalia > Primates > Hominidae > Homo > Homo sapiens. Next base: position 235,466 of record NC_000006.12, read on the forward strand.
ACCTTGGCCTCCCGAAGTGCTGGGATTACAGGCAAGAGCCACCGAGCCCAGCCTTGAGGGTGATCTTTATCCTTTCCCAAGTTCAGTGAGTTGTACTCAAATCCCTCCTCAGAAATCCTCTTCATAAGAAGTCTCTATTTCATCCCATGCCCCCAGTCCTTTCCTCAGTGAGCCCAGATAGGCCTAGAACTGTGAGTCAGGATTTCTTCCAAAAGGATGAAAGTTTTGATGAGTGAAGTAAATATTTTCCCAATCAAAATGAAAAGTAAGAAAAGAAGAAGAGAAAGGAGAGGAAGAAAGAAAGAGAGAGAGAGAGAGAAAGAAAAAGAAAGAAAGAAAGAAAGAAAGAAAGGAAGGAAGGAAGGAAGGAAGGAAGAAGGAGAGAAAGAGAAGAAAGAAGAGAGAGAGGGAGAGGAGGGAAGGGGAGGGGGAGGTAAAGGGACAAACTAAAAGGAAAACAGAGGGGAGGGAGAGAAAGGAAAAAGTTTGGAAACTTCCTAGGATGAGCTGACTTCCCTCTAGCTGTCCTGCTCCCTCTCCCTCTTCCTCTCCCTCTCCCTCTGCCTCTTCCCTCCCCCCATCTGTCTCTCACTCTTGCTTTTGTTCTTGTGCTTGCTCTCTCCCCGTCTCTCTTTCACTTTCTCTTTTGTTCTTGCTCTCTCTGTCTCTCTCTCTCCACCTCATTTTCCACTTTTTCACATACCATGAAGCAGAAAAGAAACTTATCTTGAAAAGATTCATCCAGGACGAGGTGTCACCCACACACTGATGACTGTTGGGGGCAGGGTGGTTAATTCTTTCACAGAGAGAAACTTCTCTCTGGGGAGAGCAGAGAGAGAAGAGGTGGAATTTTTTACTCACAGAGACTGACAAGATAAAATTAGAGAATTTGGGTCTAGAAGGCCAAGCAGTAAAAATAAATATGGAAAGAACATCCTCATGGAATGTTCCACAACCTGCGTCCTTCCCAACCCTACTGCCTTCTCTCCATGGCCCTGGAAGCTCATGTCTAGGGGGAGTTTTATCTGGGGCAGTAATGGAGAGAAGGAGGTTCTAAAAAGAACGGTTACCATCACGTAGGAGTTTTGTATTTCGGACCTCAAATCTGTGTGGACAATAACTGGAACCCTTTTGATATTCAATAACTGAAATTTATTTCTCCTTTAGTGCCCATTTCACCTGTTGGCAGAAGCTTGTTTTTAGCCACATCAGGCTCTCTAGCCCTCCCCACCCAGGACTTTGCTGACTCAAAGGCCGGATTGCTCTGTCCACAGTCTCCAGCACCCCCCGCTCCCTCTCTTGCTGGAGCCATGCTGGGTACCCAGAAACCTCATGCCCAGTCTTGGCCCATCTTCCCAAATTACTATTTCCATTTTTTCTTTCCTGGTAATTTCTTTACCCTGTAGCCATCCCCCCATTACTACTGTACCTCGAGTCCCCTGGGGCTTCAGAGAAAGTCTGCTAACAACAGAAAAGGCAGAAGCCCTGAGCCCGCATCACTCTGATCCTAAAGGAGGAGGAGAGCTCCTTAGTGGCTGCAGCCTGTTTAACTTTTGTCTGCTTTCACATGACTTCAGGACTCTGAAAGATCAAGCAAAAACCAGGATCTTGGCACAGAACAAAAGTGAAATGGCATTTTTGCCCAAATATTAATAAACGCAAATGCACACCCCTGTTGTCCCTGTTGGACATGCTGGGGGACCGTGGATTTTCTCAGTCACTAATGGGAGAAATGTAAATGATAATCAGATCTTGTGGTGGGTAACTTGGTGATTGGTGTCACAAATCTTAAAACTTTTGAGCACTTATCACTTCTGCTTGGAAGAATTATAATCCTGTGCAAAAAATTGCATATGCACCTAAAATATATGTAGAGAATATTTATTTAAGTATTGCTTAAATATTAGTTAATAATTCAACACAATCTGAAAGTCCCCAAATAGGGGATTGGCTGAATGTATTAGGGTACTTCCATAAAATGGAGGAAACATGCAGCCATGAAAGTTTGCTGTACATGATATTTCACCATATTAAAAAATCAATGATATATTGCTAAGTGCAAAATGCAATTTTTTTTTTTGAGACGGAGTCTCGCTTTGTTACCCAGGCTGGAGTGTAGTGGCACGATCTTGGCTCACTGCAAGCTCCGCCTCCCGGGTTCAAGCGATTCTCCTGCTTCAGCCTCCCGAGTAGCTGGGATTACAGGCACCTGCCACCACGTCCAGCTAATTTTTGTATTTTTAGTAGAGACGGGGTTTCACCATGTTGGTCAGGCTGGTCCCCAACTCTTGACCTCAAGTGATCCATCCTCCTCGGCCTCCCAAAGTGCTGGGATTACAGGGGTGAGCCACTGCGCCCGGCCTATTCTTTTCTTTTCATCAAATTTTTTTCTCCCACAGAAAGCCCAATAGAAAACAGCACAGTGTTAAGCCTTCTTGGCTATACAAGCTCGAAGAATACTTCACAGAAATGAAAAACCATTTGTGTTCCACACCTACCCAGGCTGGTAATGAGACAGGTGTTTTGTTTGTAGCTGAAAGTTAAAGATTATACCTCTTGCTGAATTCGAAATGAGTTCACCAAAAAACAAAGCAAAACCTTCCAAAACAAACAAAAGATCCACCACGCCCCATGTGTTGTTTCAGTAAATCCACTTTCTTGCTGACTGTCTCGCTCCTCCTCATTGTTCTTCCTATAAAATGGATCACTTGGCCCACAAGCACATGAGCCAAACAGATCTTAATGATCACTGGCGACATTGAAATCCAAGAACACAGGAGCTGTTGAAGCCTGAGACCAAATCTGGGAAGGGAGAATTGAAAAGGACAAGAAAATCGTCCCACAAAGGATTTGAACACACACGGAAGTGGCATGTTAAAACGATATGTGCACCATGAAGAATCTTGAAGAGAAAATTGTAGTTGGGAAGTTTCTTAGTAAGGGGAGAGGGAGTTCTTACTATATACATTATATTAACATATTAACGTTAATCAATATTAATTTCTGGAAGAATATACTTCACTAAAATGAAAAAAGGTTTGATGTTGAAGAAATTGAGACACAAAAGAGAATCCATTTATTTAACTTGGGGAGTTAGTTTCACTTTGGTTTATTTATGATATTTCAATATGCTGACTTTAATTTTTTTGGATACGCTATATTAGTACATATTTGTGGGGTACATGCACAGAATGTGTGATGATCTAGTCAAGATATTGATCATTTCCACGTGTTGGGTACACATCAAGTCCTCTCTTGTAGCTATTCTGAAATACATAATACATTGTGTTAACTATAGCCACACTGCTCTGTTATCAAACATTAGAACTTATTAAATGGAAAGATACCCAGCACTTGGGGAAGCCGAGGCAGGCGGATCATTTGAGATTGGGAGTTCAAGACCAGCCTGGCCAACATGGTGAAACCCCATCTCTACTAAAAATACAAAAAAATTAGCCTGGCGTAGTGGTGTGCACCTATAGTCCCGGCTACTTGGGAGGCTGAGGCAGGAGAATTGCTTGAACCCAGGAGGCGGAGGTTGCAGTGAGCTGAGATCGTGTCACTGGGAGACAGAGTTAGACTCTGTCTCAAAAAAAAAGAAAAGAAAAGACACAAAGGCACACTCTTATTTTATGAATAAATGTCTCCTCAGTCAGAGGCAGATGCTTGTCCATACGCTGCAGTTACCACTGTGAGTGGCAGTGAAGACGCACCAGAGGCACAGCCCTGTTAGTCATTCTAGGGCTGGTTTTTGTCCATCCCTAAGACTGCAGTTCATTAGATGAAGTTGAAATAGCTCCTTACTGTGGAACTACGAAGAGAAGTAACCGCCTCACTCGGCTTGCTGGTCTAGTGCTGGAGAACGAGGTTATAGGTGTATCTTTGACCACTGTGGGACGTGGGCCCTCATCTTCCAGAGGGACAAAAATTACAAGATCTCAGAGTTGCCTCGGGATTGTTGAAAGATCAAAATCAGACAATGGGCCAGTGCAGGGTATTGTTATCACTGGGTGTCAGGAGCTGATGGCTACCAGAATTTAAATGAAGGGCCTTCAGAATGAACGCTGTTGACAATGCCATCGATCGTTTCCCTCCTTCTGAGTCCACCCTTGACGAGGGCCACAGCCTGGCTTCTGTCATAGAACTCCCATGGTACTTTCCATGAAGTTAAGAAAGTCATTGTACACCTCCCAGCACTTTTATTTCTGCTGAATAAAATCTCCCTCTCCTGGCCTTGGAAACTGCTACAGCTCACTAACCCTCTATCCTCAGAAACAGCCCTTCCAGCAACGCTGGCGGGCACCTGCCCATATCCTCAGGGAATTCCACTGGACTTTCCCAGTTCCTCCCTGGCCTCACGCCATTTTCACTGCATTCGTGTTTAGCACGTGCTTTATTCTCTCCCAGTTACACAGAGTTTCATGGAAAATCTCATGACAGTTTTTGGAATTGGGTTGATTGATAGGGCCATCCTTGGGAGAAGACGTGGTTGGCAATTGGTAAATTGGGGCAAACGTCGAACTCATTTAAATATTTTTTAACCTGTTGCTGTCTTTCACATTTTTCTCCTGAGAATCATATAACCTTAGAGCTGGAATGATCCACTCTCTCATTTTATGATGAGAAAACGGAAGCTTAGAGAAATGAATTGGCCTGGACTGAAGGATTAAACAACTAGTTAGTGTGGGAGCCAAGGCAGGAATCTAAGTCTCCTCCTCTCCAGTCAAGAACTTCTGGCCTCCAACATCCTCTTGAGCTCACATCTCAGAAGAGTGACATAATGTCCTCTCCCTGGGACCTCTATGTAGCCTCCACGTGGTCTAGGCTCTTGAGGTGCTCGGCTGGTACCCTTGCCCAGAGCAGAGAGTGAGGCAGACTGAGCCAGGGAGCAGGCAGGTGCTGGGGAGCCAAGGAGCCTCAGCGGGATGCCTTCCCAACTTACCACTGTTGTCATTCCAGAGCCCAGCTCACTTTGTCATTTTAAAGGCCATTTGTTAAACTCCCTTAGTCAATCCCATAGCCCCATTTTTCTTGTTTCCCTGTGGCACTTGACTAGGAGTTAAAAAATAGTAACATTAAAGACAGACCAACTATTCCTATTCTTGGACCAAGTTCCAGGAGCTGTGTTTTCCAGAGCAGGGAATCAAGGAAAATCAATATGACCTGAGTAGAGTAGACGAGCAGTTTCCCACTCCTGGAAACCTGGGGCTGGTACCAGGTCCAGGGCATGCGCTCCAGAATAGGCAGGCGGAACCTCTGAGATGCAGCCGAGGTACCATCGCTCCTGTGGGCAACTTCCTCTATAAAAAATATTTAAAAGTATTTTACTGCTGCGCTGATAAAATGACAGATGTAATTGAGATGGGATTCATTATTATATATTCATGATTATTATGTATATTTTTCTTCTGATTTTAAAAGGAATAAAGATTAAGCTTTTTTTTTTTTTTTTCTTTTTTGGGACGGAGTTTCGCTCTTGTTGCCCAGGCTGGAGTGCAGTGGTGCGATCTCAGCTCACTGCAACCTCTGCCTCCCAGGTTCAAGCGATTCTCCTGCCTCAGCCTCCTGAGTAGCTGGGATTACAAGCGTGTACCACCGCGCCCGGCTAATTTTGTATTTTTAATAGAGTCGGGGTTTCTCCATGTTGGTCAGGCTGGTCTCTAACTCCCGACCTCAGGTGATCCGCCCGCCTTGGCCTCTCAAAGTGCTGAGATTTACAGGCTTGAGCCACTGCACCCGGCCAAGATTAAGCATTTCTGAGGCTTCCGAATGCAGCCTGGGTCCCAGGCACCCTGTGCTTCCTGTGCCAGAGGGCAAAGTCGGCTTGCATCAGAACCAGATGAGCTGCGGGCACATCCTGCCTCTTCGTGGCATCCTGAGTTCCCAGAACCTCTGTTTCCTTCTCTCTAGAATAAGGATTGCCCAGGGCTACTGTGAGGATGGGCAGAGATCACATATATAAAAGAGAGCATCCTCTCATCCCTCCCTCACCTCCCACCTTTTCATGGGAGACTAGTCTGCAGCATTTCTTGTCTGCACAAACTCTTGGATTTGTTGCTTCTGAAATTGGAGACAAGCCACGGGTTAAGGGCACAGTCATTAGCAAGATCAGTTTTCCTCCTTCTCAGCTAACTTTTCTCTCTCTGCACAGCACTCCCTCTGCTCTGGTCGACATGTGCACAGCTGCACTGAAACTTCTCTCTGGTGACCGCCACTCCCTCCAAATAGCCTCACAGTGCCCCCACTGTTGCACACACTCAAGCTACCGCCCAGCTAGAATAATCCACCTTGGGCATCTTTTAAAAAATGCTCTAAAGGAAAGTGCTATCTCATCCCTGAGCAATGGAGGAGGAATATATGTTTCAATTAATAGTAAAACGACCAAGACTGATGCATCCTATAGTATCTGGGACCTGCTTTACTCACTTGTCATGAAAAATTGTGAAGGATTTTGAAACGTGAAAGAAAATGTGAGTGATGCCTATAAATCTATATATCTACAGTTGACCCTTGAACAACATGGATTTGAACTATGCAGTTCCACTTATACATGAATTTTTTTCAGTGAAAGTTACGCTGACTGTGCCTGACTCTCTTGCCTTCTCTTCCACCTCGTCTACCTCTTCTGCCTCTGCTACTCCTGAGACAGCAAGAGCAACCCCACCTTTTCCTCCTCCTCCTTAGACAATGTGAAGATGATGAGGATGAAGACCTTCATGATGATCCACTTCCACTTCATGAATAGTAAATGTATTTTTTCTCTTCCTTATGATTTTCTTAGTAACGTTTTCTTTTCTCCAGCTTACTTTTTGCTAAGAATACAGTACATAATACATATAACATAAAAATATTTTTTAATCAACTGTTTATGTTGTTGGTAACACTTCCAGTCAACAGTAGGGGATTAGTAAAGTTTTGAGGGATGTTGAATTTTACCAAACATTTAAAGAAAAAGTAATACCAATCCTACTCAAACTATTTTGAAAAACAGAGGAGGAGGGAATACTTCCAAAATCATTCTATGAGGCCAATATTACCCTGATAACAAAACCAGACAAAGACATCAAAAAAAGAAAACTGCAGGCCAATATCCCTGATAAGCATTGATGCAAAAACCCTCAACAAAGTATCAGCAAACTGAATTCAACAACACATTGAAAGGACCATTCATCATGATCATGTGGGGTTTACCCCAGGGATGCAAAGATGATTCAACATAAACAAATCAATCAATGTGATCCCTCTTATCAACTGAAAGAAGGACAAAAACCATATGATCATTTCATCTGATCCTGAAATAGCATTTGATAAAACTCAACATCCTTTCACAGATAAAAATCCTCAAAAAACTGGGTATAGAAGGAACATACCTCAACACAATAAAAGCCATATATGACAGACCCACAGCTAGTATCATACTAAATGGGGGAAAACTGAAAGCCTTTCCTCTAAGATCTGGAACATGACAAGGATGCCCACTTTCACCACTGTTATTCAACACAGTACTGGAAGTCTTAGCTAGAACAATCAGACAAGAGAATGAAATAAAGGTCATCCAAATTGGAAAGGAAGAAGTCAAATTATCCTTGTTTCCAGATGATATGATCTTATATTTGGATAAACCTAAAACCTTCACCATAAAACTATTAGAACTAATAAACAAATTGAGTAAAGTTGCAGGATACAAAATCAACATACAAAAATTAGCAGCATTTCTATATGCCATCATTGAACAATTTGGAAAAGAAATCAAGATACTAATCTCATTTACAATAGCTATGAATAAAATAAAATACCAAGAAATTAACCCAACCAAAGAGGTAAAAGACCACTACAATGAAAACTATAATACATTGATGAAATAAACTGAAGAGGACACAAAACAATGGAAAGATATTCCATGTTCATGGACTGGAAGAATTAATATTGTTAAAATGTCCATATTGCCTAAAGCAATCTACAGATTTGATGTAATACCTATCAAAATACCAATTACATTCTTCACAAAAACAGAAAAACTAATTATAAAATTTATGTGTAATCACAAAAGACCCAGAATAGCCAAAGCTATCCTAAACAAAAAGAACAAAACTTGAGGAACCACATTAACTGACTTCAAATTACGCTACAAAGCTATAGGAACCAAAACAGCATGGTACTGGCATAAAAACAGACACATAGACCAATGGAATAGAATAGAGAACCCAGAAACAAATCCATACATCTAAAGTGAACTCATTTTCAACAAAGTTGCCAAGAACATACATTGGGGAAAGGATAGTCTCTTCAATAAATGGTGCTGGGAAAACTAGATATCCATATGCAGAAGAATGAAACTATACCCCATCTCTTGCCATATACAAAACTCAAACTGAATTTAATACTTAAATCTAAGATTTCAAACTATGAAACTAGTAAAAGAAAACATTGGGGAACTCTCCAGGACATTGGTCTGGACAAAGATTTCTCGAGTAATACCCCACAAGTACAGGCAATCAAAGCAAAAATGGACAAAGAAGATTACATCAAGTTAAAAAGCTTTTGCACAGCAAAGGAAACAATCAACAAAGTGAAGAGACAACCCACAGAATGGGATAAAATATTTGAAACTATCCATCTGAGAAGGACTAATAACCAGAATACATAAGGAGCTCAAACAACTCTACAGGAAAAAAATCTAATAATCTAACTTTAAAAATGGGCAAAAATCTGAATAGATGCTTCTCAAAAAAAGACATTTAAATGACATACAGGTATATGAAAAGGTCCTGAACATCACTGATCATCAGATAAATGCAAATCAAAACTACAATGAGATATCCTCTCACCCCGGTTAGAATAGCTTTTATCCAAAAGACAGGTAATAACGAATGCTGGTGAGGATGTGGAGAAAAGGGAACCCTCATACACAGTTGGTAGGAATGTAAATTAGAACAACCACTATGGAGAACCATCTGGAGGTTCCTCAAAACACTAATAATAGAGTGCCATAGGATCCAGCAATCCAATCCCACTGCTAAATATATATCCAAAAGAAAGGAAATCACTATACTGAGGAGATGTCTGCACTCCCATGTTTATTTCAGCACTACTCACAATAGCCAAGATTTGGAAGCAACCAAAGTGTCCATCAATAGATGGACAGATAAAGAAGATGTGGTACGTATACACAGTGGAGTACTGTTCAGTCATAAAAAAGAATGAGATTCTGCAATTTGCAACAATGTGGGTGGGACTGGGGGTCATTATGGAAAGTGAAATAAGCCAGGCACAGAAAGACAAAGTTTGTATATTCTCACTTATTTGTGAGAACCAAAAATTAAAAAAATTGAACTCATGGAGATAGAGAGTAGAAGGATGGTTCCCAGAGGCTGGGAAGGGTAATAGGGGGTGAGGGGAGTAGGAGGAATGGTTAATGGGTACAAATCTATAGTTAGAATAAATAAGATCTAGTATTTGATAGCATAACAGGGTGACTATAGTCAGCAATAATTTATATATTGTTAATAACTAAAAGATTATAATTGGATTGTTTGTAACACAAAGATATGATAAATGCTTGAGGAGATGGATGCCCTATCTACCCTGATGTGATTGTTACACATTGCATGCCTGCATCAAAATATCTCATGTACTCTGTAAATACATACACCTATTATGTACCCACAAAAATTAAAAATTAAAAAAACAAACAAAATATTTTGAGGGAGTCAGAAGTTATAGGCAGATTTTTCACTGCACAGGGATCTGCACCCTGACCCTTGCATTACTCGAGGATCAACTGTACATCTATATCTGTACATCTCACCCACTGACGTTATCCTCACTATTCTTTTAAAACTCTATAAGTTGTAGAAAATGGATAATAATGTGAATTGCTCTTGTTCATATAAATGCAAATTAATTGTGTCCCCATTGGGATGCAATTGGCCATTGCCCTATGGAAGAGCAGTTTTATGGCTATTTGTAAATTCATTTTATAATTCCTTATTCCTTGTATATAAATGTATGGTTCTCAGAATTCTCTATTGAACCCACTGTAACATTTAATTAATGAGTGAAATAACATCTTTGACATGTGTTCATTTTATATTTGCATAAGAGTCTGCCAATCACCCTTTAACACATTTCATCACTACTCTTGAGTTCACTCTTCCCTCCTTCATAAAGCCGCATCACCTTCTGACATGAAGCAAACCCTGAAACAAGGTCTGCAAATCACAGGCTCATGATGGGCCCAGATTCTCTGCAAAAAAGAAAGGACATCAAATAAGATAGATGTCATAAAGTGATTACCTTCATTATGAGCAGTCTGGAAACCCAGTCTTGGTAATGGTTTGAAGTCATCAAATGTATCTACTCCCCTTATATAAATTTTACAGTTGTGTAGGCATGTTAGGTTGAACCATATGAAATTGCTGTTCTACAGGTTAAAGTGTTCAATATGAGCAAATCCCCATGGTTTGACCTAATAGATATGTATGCAATTATAACACTCATATGGATGTGTATGTAGAGATACACAACGCACGCATTCATACAGAGTAAAACTACATCATGAGTGAAAGTTCTGGGCTAATTTAGGTGTAAGCAGAAAATCATGCTTCTTGGTGTACGTGTTTCTGTTCCTTTAAACTCTAATTTCTGGAAGTTTATGTGAAATGAGGAGAGGAGTCTGTGCTATATTGTGGGAAACTTATGAGGCCAGGAATTAGGAAACCTACAGTCTCACTTGCTCTAAGACGTACTCATCCCTTTAGTGGACATTACTTTAGTAAATTTTTCTTGGATTCTGAAGGATTTTACAGGTTCTCAATCTGTTTTTTCCTGAGGATCCAGAATGGATAGGAGATTGGGTTGAGTTGAAGCTTAAAATTATCTATTTTCCTTTTGTTTTGCTTCTTTCAGTTTTGAAGAAAAATATTTCCTGATATAACCTTTTTTTCCTGATTGGCCTCTTTCTACCAAACTAAGAGAGCAGCAAACACAAAATGTGGCTGAGATTCCATTTGGCAGGAATCCAGCGATTCTGAGTTTGGTTCTCCACATTTTGCAGAACACATCCGCCTGACTCACAAACCTACACTCTCCCATGTCCATCATGGTGAAGGTGCCGACATGATGCTAATGACTCACACGCACCAGAGGAGGGTGACACTAGACGCACTCGTGGAGCCACTCATGCTCGGTTTCCTAATTATGGGAAAGACTTGTGTTGAGCCACCTTCACGTTCTCACCTTCTCCTCTGCAATGTATGTGACCTTCCAGCACAGGCACCAGCCCTTAGAAATATGTCAGCCTGTCTGGTCAATATGGTGAAACCCCATTTCTACTAAAAATACAAAAATTAGCGGGGTGTGGTGGTGGGCGCCTGTAGTCCCAGTTACTCAGGAGGCTGAGGCAGAAGAATCCCTTGAACCTGGAAGGTGGAGGTTGCAGTGAACCGAGATCACACCACTGCACTCCAGCCTGGGTGACAGAGAGAGACTCCGTCTCAACAAAAAAAAAAAAAAAAAGAAAAAAGAAAGAAATATGTCAATATGTCAGCCTGTAAAATCTGTCTCCAGAGAAAGGGAAGAGAAGGAATTACCATGTCTTGGCTTGGGTTGTAGTTGGTGAAGTTTACTATTGTGTACAGAAGAACTTGAATTTTCTCTAATCATTAGTAGTAAGTAAAACATGCTTCTTAATGGAGTGACTGTTGTGGAGACATAGAGAAATACAGAAAAAAAATTACATATATATATATATGGAACAGGGTGAGGGAGAGACAAAAGAGAAATAATACACACTTTTTTGCATAATAGCTTTATAGAGGTATAATTCATACCATAAAATCACTCTTTTAAAGTGTGAAATTTAGCGTTTTTTAATACTTTTGAAGAGTTGTGTAACCATCATGACTACGTAATTTAGAACATTTTTATCACCTTCAAAAAAAATATATCCCACACCTATGAGCAGTCACTCCCTATTTTCTCTTCCTCCCAGCCCCTGGCAATCACTAATTTAGTTTCTGGCTCTGTGGATTTCCCTTTTTCAGACATTTCGCATCCATGGTCTGATACAGCATGTGGTCTTTTGCGCCTGGCTTCTTTCACTTCACATTTTCAAGGTCTTTGGGGGTCATTAGCGCCGTGCCATGGATAAGAACTTCATTTGCTTTTGTGGCTAATAGTCTCTTGTATGGATAGACCACATTCTGTTTAGTCACTCATCAGTTGATAGACATTTGGGTTGTTTCTACTCTTTGGCTATTACAAAAAATGCTGCTACTATGAACATTTATGTACAAATGTTACGTAGACATATGTTTTGATTTCTGGGGTATACACCCAGGAGTAGAATTTTTAGGTAATATAAGAACTCTGTTTAATATTGTGGGTAACTGACACACTGTTTTCCAAAGTGGCTGCACCATTTTACATTCCCATGGTAAACTAAGAGGGTTCCAATTTTTCGTGTCCTTGCCAATACTTACTATTTTTTTTGAGATGGAGTCTCACTCTATTTGGAGTGCAATGGCGTGATCTCAGCTCACTGCAAACTCCGCCTCCCGGGTTCAAGCGATTCTCCTGCTTCAGCCTCCTGAGTAGCTGGGATTACAGGCAAGCACCACCACGCCCGGCTAATTTTTGTATTTTAGTGGAGATGAGGTTTCACCATGTTGGTCAGGCTGGTCTCGAACTCCTGACCTCGTAATCTGCCTGCCTTGGCCTCCCAAAGTGCTAGGATTACAGGCGGGAGCCACAGCGCCTGGCCAATACTTACTATTATTTGTCTAATTATAGCCATCCTCATGGGTGTGAAGTGATATCTCATTGTGGTTTTGATTTTCACTTCCCTAATGGTGGATAATTTTTGGGCATCTTTTCATATTCTTGTTGGCCATTTATATATCTTTCTTAGAGAAATGTCTGTTCAGATCCTTTGTGCATTTTTTTAAAAAATAGCTTATTTTTCTTTTTATTATTGAGTTGTAGATGTTCTGTACTTATTCTAGAAGCAAGTTACCCTTCTATTCTGAATATATTTGATTTGCAAATATTTTTCCCATTTTGTGGGGTTTTTTTTTTTAACCTGATGGTGTCTTTTGCAGAACAAAAGTTTTTAATTTTGATCAAGTCCAATCAATCTTTTTTTTTCATTTGCCACTTTTGCTTTGTTGTTTTATCTAGGAAGACTTTACCTAACTCAAGGATATTAAAATTTACCTTTAGTACTTCTTCTAAGAGTGTATAGTTTTAGCTCTCACATTAAGGTTTATGACTCATATGGATTTAATTTTTGTGTATGTAAGAAAGGAGTCCAACTTTATTCTTTTGCATGTTGATATTCAGTTTTCCCAGCACCATTTGTTAAAAAGATCTAGAGAGAGGAGGGTAATACTGGACCTACTCATAAAACCACCCGTGCTTGATTTTCTAATTTCTAATTTAAAATTATATCTATGAGTCTAATAATTTCCTAATTTTTAAAAATATTTTAATTTTTAATTTTGTGGGTACATAGTAGGTGTATGTATTTATGCAGTACATGAAACATTTTGATACAGGCATATAATGTATAACAATCACATCAGGGTAAACGGGGTATCCATCTCCTAAAGCATTTGTCATAGCTTTGTGTTACAAACAATCCAATTATAATCTGTTAGGTATTTTAAAATGTACAATAAATTATTGTTGACTGTAGTCACCCTGTTGTGATATCAAATACTAGATCTTATTCATTCTAATATATATATTAGAATATATACATATATTCTAATTCATATATATACATATGTATAAATAGAAAAGAAATATATATATTTCTTTTTTTTTTTTTTTGTAGATGGAGTCTCGCTCTGTCACCCAGGCTGGAGTGCAGTGGCATGATCTTAGCTCACTGCAACCTCCGCCTCCTGGGTTCAAGTGATTCTCTTGCCTCAGCCTCCCAAGTAGCTGGGACTACAGATGCACGCCACCATGCCCGGCTTATTTTTGTATTTTTAGAAGAGACAGGGTTTCAGCATATTGGTCAGGCTGGTTTCGAACTCCTGACCTCAAGTGATCCACCTGCCTCGGCCTCCAAAAGTGCTGGGATTACAGGCATGAGCCACCGCACCCACCCATTCTAACTATATTTGTGTACACTTTAACCATCCTTCTGTCCTCCCCACCCCAGCCCTTACTACCTTCTGGGAACCATTCTTCCCCTCTGTATCTCCATGAATTCAACTGTTTTAATTTTTAGCTTTCACAAGTGAGTGAGAACATGCAAAGTTTGTCAGTCAGTGCCTGGCTTGTCTCACTTAACATGATGACCTCCAGTCCCATGCATATTACAGCATCTAATTCTTTTCTATGGCTGAATAGTACTTTATTGTGTATATGTACCACATATCCTTTATCCATTCATCTATTGATGGATACTTAGGTTGCTTCCAGATCTTGGCTATTGTGAATAGTGCTGCAATAAACATGGGCATGCAGACATCTCTTCAGTATAGTGATTTTCTTTCTTTTGGGTATATACCCAGCAGTGGGATTGCTGGATTCTAGGGTAGCTCTATTTGTCAAAATTGATTGGCCACAAACATAAGGATTTATTTCTGGACTCTAAATTCTCTTCCATTGATCTACATGTCCGGCTAGTACCACACTGTCTTGCTTACTGTCACTTTGTAGTAAGCTTTAAAATCAGGACGTGTGAGTCTTTCAACTTTGTTTTAATTTTTCAAGATTGTTCTGGTTATTCTTGGTGCCTTGCCTTTCCGTATGAATTGTATAATAAGCTTGTCAGTTTCTGCCGAAAAAAAAAAGCCAGCTGGGATAATGATAGGGATTATATTGAATCTGTAGATCAATTTGGGGAGTACTGCCGTCTTAACAATAAGTATTGAGTATTCCAATCTATGTTCATGAGATGTCTTCCATTAATTTAGATCCTCTGTAATTCTTCCAATGATGTTTTGTACTATAGTTTTCAGTGTAGAAGTCTTGAATTTTTTGGAAAAATCTATCCTTAAAATATTTTATTCTTTTTGATACTATTATAAATGGAACTATTTTCTTACTTTTATTTTCAAATTGTTCATTGCTAGTGTATAGAACCAACCGACTTTTGTATATTGATCTGCTACCCAGCAACCTTAATGAACTAATTTTATATGCCTAATAGTTTATTTTGTGGCATGCTTAGAATTTTTAATATTAGATCATGTCATCTACAAACAGAGATAGTTTTACTTCTTTCTTTCCCATCTGATGTCTTTCACTTTTCTTTCTTGTCTAATTGTCCTGGCTTGATCCTCCATTGCAATGTTGAATAGAAGTGGTGAGAGTGGACTTCCTTAGGGCAAAAACATTCTGTCTTTTACCACATGTGTAATGTTAGGTGTGGTTTGTTTGTAGATTCCCTTGATCAGGTGGAGGAAGTTCCCTTCTATTCTTAGTTTTTGTGTGTTTGTATTATGAAAGATTGTTAAATTTTGTAAAATGCTTTTTTTCCCATCTCTTCAGATGACTATGTGGTTTTGTTGTCATGCTATTAATACAGTGCATTACATTGACTGATTTTTCAAAGTTAAAGCATCCTTATCTTCTTTGGATGAATCTCATTGGATTCAGTTTGTGTTTTGTTGAGGATGTTTGTATTGATATGTATAAGGGATATTGGTTTGTACTTTTCTTATGATATCTTTGACTGGTTTTGGTATCAGGGTAATACTGGCGACATAGAATAAGGTGAAAAGTGTTTCCTCCTCTTCTCTTTTTAAGAGTTTATGAGAGGGTCCGGGCGTGGTGGCTCATGCTTGTAATCCCAGCACTTTGGGAGGCTGAGGCAGGCGGATCGCTTGAGGTTGAGAGTTCGAGACCAGCCTGACCAACATGGAGAAACCCCATCTCTACTAAAAATACAAAATTAGCCAGGTGTGGTGGCACATGCCTGTAATCCCAGCTACTCAGGAGGCTGAGGCAGGAGAATTGCTTGAACCCGGGAGGTGGAGGTTGCAGTGAGCCGAGATCACACCACTGCACTCCAGCCTGGGCAACAAGAGCGAAACTCCGTCTAAGGAAAAAAAAAAAAGTTTATGAGAGATTGTTGCTAATTCTGCATTTGATAGAATTCACCAATGAAGCCATGTGAGTCTGAGCTTTTTGGTAGGAAGTTTTTAATTACCAATTCAATCTCCTTACCTGCTACATGTCTATTCGTATTTCTTATTTACCCCTCTCTCGGCTTCAATAGTTTGTGTCTGGTATACACATGTTAAAATAAAAATGTTAATTTGAAGTTTCTCCCCATCCCTGTCATCTACCTATCCTCCTTATTACTTGGGCTCATCTCCTTGACAGCAACTATAGGAAAAACAAGAAAGCAAAAATATTATCTCTTTACATGCGACAGATTCCTTTGGATTTTGCTCCCCCATGGCTTCTTTTGATATGTTTGGTCTCCTAGCCCCTCCTCTTTAAAACTTCTCGACTCTAGAAAAACACAGAAGAAAAAGACTGAGCGAGAGAAAGAGAAAGATTGTTCTAGTGAGATTTGAATCCATTCTGTAGTGCCACATGGATAAAAAGTAGGCCTATCAAATGTCACAAATGGGCTTGACTCACTTGGCATCTCAAAGCCCTTATGACATGTAACTGCTAGCAAAGGTGTGATGATTCATATCTTCAGCAGAATTGAGAACATGAAACTCTACTTTGCCTTCCTCCTTAGAATTGTTCAGAGGAAATGTTATTTCTTCCCTGAAAGTTGGTTGCAAGTTTCTTTCCTTTCTTACTGAATGAAATGTCACATATATTGATAGATGACCACTTTCACACAGAGCTAGGTAAATAAGATTATGATTCTTATATTAATTCCAGAGTGATGATTTGATAAAGAGAGGAGATAATCCATCATTTCATCCTTGCAACAGAGGTCTCAATTTTGTTGTTATTAGAAGGAGATGAATTATTTTTTCTTTAATATACTTTAAAAAACAAAACCAACCACCATCAGCAACAAAAATACTCTCTAAACTTGTGTTTAAACTGCAGCGGAAAAAACTATTTTAGTGAACTTAGCATTTTCCTAGTATTACCTCACCTCAGGATTTGAGTTTTCCAATGACTGTGGCAGTGCCTTGTTATTTTTAGGGATTCGACAGCCTTTTCTGCAAACCGTCCCCTTAAACTCTCCCTCATCTACCTCTGCATTGTGATTATCTCATATATCAAAAAGTTTCTTTTTCTCTAAGATGAAGCTGGCTTATCTTTATTCAGTCTAGAAGATTTGATTGCACAGAAATGATCTAATAGTTGCCCACCGAAGGATTTCACTGCACCCGAACTCATTCAAAATGCTTCCTTAGTCAGTTTGTTCTTGTTTTCCTTCTAAGTTTTGCATGCTTCTTAAACCCTGTTTCAGAAAGTCAAAGAAACATACCTTCTCATTCATTTAAACAACACTGAAGGACCTGAAAAAGCCTGTCCTTAATTATTTCATAACTGAAACGAAAACAAATTTTAGCATGTCAGTCTGATCTTGTAAGCCATACACAGGAAACCCAAGGTCAGCGTAGAGTGTCTTATTCTAGAATGGTAAGCCAGGCATTATTGTTTCTATTATTCTATAAATTACAGCTGACATGCATGTATGACAGCTTAACACAGATATTAAACAGACCAAAGAGACTTTCAATTTCTACCTACAGTGACAGATTATTTATCTCAACAGGTAAAATCATAATAAATCCAAAACTCTTAGGGATGCCATGAAGTGTTTATTTTCTAGTTGGAGAGGAAATTATGTTGGCACCTTAATTACGCTTTATTTTACTGTTTCATTCATGGGCCTCGGTTGCACAGAATCAGATGACTCATAATTCTTGCTTCACCACACACTTCCCCACTGGCCCATGCACGGCCCTTTTCTATTAATTTACTCATTTATTTATTTCTAATAATACAAAAAAAACACCCACGGACCCACCACCCATCACCACTGATCCATAAGCCAGGACTATGAATTTTTTTTTTTTTTGAGACACAGTCTCACTCTGTCGCCCAGGCTGGAGGGCAGTGGCATGACCTCGGCTCACTGCAACCTCTGCCTCCCAGGCTCAAGCAATTCTCCTGCCTCAGCCTCCTGAGTAGCTGGGATTACAGGCATGCGCCATCACACCCGGCTAATTTTTGTGTTTTTAGTAGAGACAGGATTTCATCATGTTGGCCAGGCTGATCTCGAACTCCTGACGTCAGGTGATCCCCCCACCTCAGCCTCCCAAAGTGCTGGGATTACACACGTGAGCCACCATGCCCTGCCGGACAATGACAATTTAACTCAGATTTTCTGCTCCTTTGCGACCTTCTGTCCCTGCTTCGCCCCACCTGACTCGCAGGCTGGTAACTGTGACTCTAAATCCTTGTCCATCATTCCCTTGCCTCCCTTTTTAACGTGGGGTTTTCACTTTGTGTCTCCTGATTAACAAGCTGATTTATTTTGTTTTATTTTTAAGTCCCTCCCAGATCCCACTCAGATATGCCTTTCACATCTTTGTACTAGAGGGAATGGCTTGGCTCATCCATTTTGGGGAAATTAAGTCTTCATTTATTCATAATTAATTCTTCATTTATTCAAACAGGGTTTAAGAAGCATGCAAAACCGGCAAGGGCAGAGAACAATCCCGTCTCAAGGGACAATAAAACCAAGAATCCTTTTGTGGGCTGTCTCGGTTGCCTCATACTGGTGTCTTCATGACACGCCAGCACGGGGCGGCTCCCCCATGGGCTGGATCATGTCTGTGGCTGGCCAAGCCCATGGTGAGCAGCATCAGGAATTTCCTTTCTGAGTGCTTTTCTGCATGATGGCTGAATTATGAATCTGTATTAAAGAGGTTTTAAAGAGGGGAGGTTGACTTTGGGGGCTTTTTGCCTTCTTGAGGTCAACGAAAGTTGGTTCGGCAGGAAGGGGGCATCCTGGGATAGTGGAAAGGACGTTGGATTTAGAGCTTAGAGACGTGAATTATAGCTTCAGTTCTGCAGCAGGTATAGCTGTGTGACCTTGAGCAAATGATTTCTACCTCACTGGACTCAGCCTCCTCTTCTGTAGAAGACACATTTGAACCAAATTATTTCTTTTTTGTTTGTTTGCTTTGTTTTTGAGAGAGGGTCTTGCTCTGTTGCCCAGGACTGGCACAATCACACAGCCCCTGACCTCCTGGGTTCAAGCGATCTTCCCATCTTGGCCTCTCAAGTAGCTGGGACTACAGACACACACCATCATGCCCAGCTATTTAATTTTTGTAGAAACAGGGTCTCACTATGTCGTCCCGGCTGGTCTTGAGCTCCTGGGCTCAAGCAATCCTCCCACCTCGGCCTCCCAAAATGCTAGATTTACAGACGTGAGCCGCTGCCCAGCCCCAGATGATTTCTAAGGATCCTATCAGAGAAGGAACTTGGGGAAAAAAATGAGTCAGGGTCTCATTGCGCTTCCTTCACTCATTTGGTTGTGAAGTCAACACGCATGCCATTGGGTTCCTACCATGTGCCAGGGATGCAGGAACTGAGGTCCTATCACTCTGTGAAGTACCATGTCCTGCAGTGTATTTCTCAGTCTGTCTGACTAAGTTGAGATCTGCTTATGAGCAAGGACACTGTCAAGCCTCGACTGGGACTAACTTAAGCAAAGGGGTAGATTTGCTGTAATACTACAGGAGTTGAAGTATTTCATAAAAGTCATAAGCAGGAATACAACTGGGCCTCAGTAAAAGGCTAGAGACATTACCCTGAATGTGGAGGGGAACCAGAAAGTCACTTCTCCGTTTCTGTTTCCATGTCTTTTTGGCAGCCTGCTTCATTCTTCACTTTGGCCATAGCTGCTACTTCATGGAAAATAGCCTCGACAACCACAGCATTTTATATACGAGACAAACTCTGTCTAAGTCTCCATTCTGAATTCCTAGGGAATAATTGTGATTCCCATTCCAATCCACTCTACTGTGGCCTGGCTGACGTGGAGGTTGGGGAGTTTAAGGTCAAACAATGGCCTTTCATCCTTCCACCATGAGAATGGGATGGGAGAGACACGCCTGGGAAGGTTTCATGTCCTCCAGCTCCGGTAGGGCCTGTGATCAGCGCTGGTTTGCTCATCTCTCTGTGCCTGGTGCTAGCCCAGAGTGGGTACTCAGAACCTGCATTCTGAATGAATGAACGTGTGAATACAATCAAGTAAGAGTGAAATTATAGGTAAAGAAAAACATACCAAGTGAACCCCACTCTTGGCTTTAAGAGGAAATTAAAAGAATATTAGCAGAAGAGAATAAGTCACACAATTTTGAAACAGAGCTTCCTGGAAGGCATGAAACTCGACACGTGACACTGTGCATTCACAGTTTACAGCCATGTGTTAGTATCTTACAATACAGAGAACGCGTGTGTGTTTTCTTATAAGGTATCAAACAAGTAGGAAGTGATGACGGAATGACTTCTCTTTTGAGTTTTCAGTGACTTAGAAGTCTTTCTCAGAGCTTTTCATGTCCATTTCAAAATACTGATATCAACAAAGAACGACCAATGAGGACAGAGAGGCCCGTTTGCATTCTCGTAGCCATGACCCTAAAATCCAAAGAAAGTTTCTAATGGAGAATCGTGGCATTTTAGAGCTAAAGTGAGCCTGTCCCAGCATCTTGTTCTTTGCCCTAACTTTACAAAAGAGGTTAAACTACTTGCTGCCAGCTAGAGACAGAGGGGACCCCTGGCTCAGTGTTTTGGAGAATCTTGAGCTTCAGTTGTCACCAAAGCCATGTGTGGATGACCTCAAAAGCTGCGCCTGATTTGTGCGTGAACACCTCATTCTCCCAGCCCTGGCTAACAAGAGCTACGTCAAAGTTAGGATGCATGGGTCTGAGCCTTGCTAGCCCGGAGTCAGGGCCCCAAAGAGGTCACAGGTTTATATTGACACTGTCTCCCAGGCAGGCAGCACATGGAGACATAGTGGTGGGAGAGTGGGAGAGATGTCTTTTTTTTTTTTTTTTTTCGAGACAGAGTCCTGTTCTTGTCGCCCAGGCCGGACTGCAGTGGTGTGATCTGGGCTCACTGCAACCTCGGCCTCCCGGGTTCAAGCGATTCTCCTGCCTTAGCGTCCCAGGTAGCTGGGATTACAGGCATGCGCCACCACACTTGACTAATTTTTGTATTTTAGTAGAGTCAGTGTTTCACCATGTTGGCCAGGCTGGTCTCAAACTCCTGACCTCAGGTGATCTCCCTGCCTCAGCCTCCTAAAGTGCTGGGATTACAGGCGTGAGCCACTGTGCCCAGCCGAGAGCTGTTATAATTTATGTCAAATTGTATTTGTTTGATATATGCTTCTATAAATTTGTTCCATAATTTTGTTTAATATTAAATTATATTTAACATACATTATACACACACTTTTGTGACAGTGTTATACTTTCCATAATTTATCTATTTCATATCTCATGGGGACTTTTTAAAGAAAGGAATCTTTGACATTGAAAAAATGTAAGCTGATCATGATCTTAAATCAAGTCTAAAATTTTAACTTAGATCTAAAATTCCTTGAAGAATAAAGTTTGTAAGAAATTTCTCAGCATGACAATTCCACTCGTGTTATTGAAGGACAACATATCCATTTACAAAGTCAACACATTTTCCTCTAAAACACTAAATGTGTGCTAGAAAAAAATACTTCCTGGAGGAGCGGCTTCCTTTTTGAAATAACTTCATCTTTTTCTGACTGCCTTTGGTTGACTAATCATGAAAAATCTCCCCTTGATGTGGCAATTCTAATTCTGACGCCATCTCCATGGGGAAAAGAAAACTTCCAATTTTTCTTTAAGAGGAAGTCAGTGCCTCAGACAGATAATCACTTCCCTGGAAGAACATCTCCTCACAAGCGGATTTTTTTAAGTTTAAGAAGTTAACTTTGTAATGTTTAAAAATGAAAACTGCTAGATTTGACAAGCTTAGGAGGGAAGCTCAGTATACCTTCATCCGTACTCATTGGGCTGATTGCTTAGTTCGGGCCTCAGGTGGGAACGGGAAGTGCTAATTAGGCTTCCATGAAGACACCCACACTGACAAGCATGCATCCAAGTCCTCCGCTTCTCCAGAACTAAACCTGGTATACCTTGATTTCAGCCTTGCCAAAGCCCTGCAGAACTATTATGTAAGGGAATTGGCTAATCTTTATTTGCTCACTTTTAAATGTCTTTTGTGCCTAAGGAAAATCAAACCCATTGTTGTTGGGGTTTGAGAAGGTAAATTTACCACACCTCTGCCAGTTACAGCTTTAAGACCAGGTACAGAAAGCAGATATAAGTCAGTGTATTGGCTTTATTTCTGGTAAGGCTGGGTTAAAAAACCTCCACTTGGACCCAAGGTCTGAATGGTTTTCCACTGAACTTAACCAGGCCCACCCACCCACAGGCAGGACAGCTGTGGGCCTCTCCCCACAAGGGCTGCACCTGGCTCCTTGGGCTCACCCCATGGAGGAGAGGAGGGCAGGTGCATCCTGTGACCAGGCTGTTCTAAAAAATGATGAGAGAGACAGAAAGCACACCAAGGAGAGGGGAGTGGTGAACCTTTACACAGTGACCCCAACCCTTAATGAGCAGCAGAATTAGTCATCTATACTGAAGAGTTAGAAAGGGGTAAGGAGAAGAAAAAAGTTATTTCCAATGTCTGAAAGGTCGGGCATTTCCTTTTCCTTGGCAGAGGCAGGAGCAGGTGGGGACAAGAGAATAGGTCTCCCTTTGGTTGGTCACTCCAGTGGGTCACTGCAAATGCTGTTGTGCACACTAGGCTTTGCTGAGTGTAGCTTTGCCCATAGGGCATCAAAATTTGAAAGCCCAGAAAAAGTTTTATTTGATTTTATAATTTCAACTAGTATTTTAGATTCAAGATGTACATGTGCATGTTTGTTGCATGGGTTTATTGCATGATGCTAAGGCTTGGGGGCGTGAATGATCTCGTCACACAAGTAGTAAGCATAGCACCCAACTTAGTTTTTCAGCCTTGTCCCCATCTCTCTCTCCTGCCTCTAGTAGTCCTCAGTGTCTAGTGTTTCCATCTTTATGTCCATGTGTACCCAATGCCCAGTGCTTAGCTCCCACTTATAAGTGAGAACATGCAGTGTTTGGTTTTCTATTCCTGTGTTAATTAATTCACTTAGGATAATGACCTCCAGCTGCAAAGGACATTTTTTTTTTTTTTTGATAGAGGTAAGATTGTGCTCTGTCACTCACTGCAGCCTTGACCTCCTGGACTCAAGCAACTCTCCTGCTTCAGCCTCTTGAGTAGCTAAGACTACAGGTGCATGCCACCACACTTGCCTGAGTTTTTATTTTTTACTTTTGTAGTGACAGGGTCTTGCTATGTTGTCCAGACTGGTCTCAAGCTCTTGGCTCCAAGTGGTCCTTCCGCCTTGGCCTCCCAAAGTGCTGGGATTACAGGTGTGAACCATTGCACCTGGCCAAGCTCATTCTTTTTTATGGCTGCATAATATTCCATGAAGTATATGTACCACATTTTTTTAATCTGCTCCACAGTTGATGGACACCTAGGTTGATTCTATGTCTTTGCTATTGTGAATAGGGCTGTGATGAAGTTTTAAATGATCATTTGAAAACTCTTGTGAAAGCCACTGTATCTCACTTCTTCAATAAACACTCTGTTCCCAGTACTGCCAGCATGGTCCCACCAACAGAGGCAATGAGCTGAGCTCCAACCTCAGACCAGGATAGGCACCAGCAAAGATGAACAGGACTGGGGACCCAGTACCCCTCTGTGGGCATGGGGGCACGCAATCGCTTCCTCCTCCCCTCTTCCCTTTCCCTGCTGCTGACACTGGTGCCTCTTTTGTTTTGGGAGTCTTTCCATGTTGCTTGTCCCTAACATCAAAATTACAAGCTAAGAAGCTGAAGACAGAGGATTTCTTTCAAATTAGTGTTAGAATTCTTTCAACGGTTATTTATTGAGCACTTACTATATGCTATTGTAGTAGCTAGGCATGCAGCACTAAACAAAATAGAATTTACATTCTGGTGGAAAGAAACTGCGGTGACCAAGTAATTAATCTTTGGAGAGAATTTCACGTATGTGTGCATTTGCCTTTTATGTGCTTCCACATAAATCAAGCTTGTCCAACCCATGGCCCATGGGCCACACGCAGTCCAGGATGGCTTTGAATGCGGCCCAACACAAGCTTGTAAACTTTCTTAAAACATTATGAGATTTTTTAATTTATTGGCAATTTTTTTTAGCTCATCAACTATAGTTAGTGTATTTCATGTGTGCCCCAAGACAATTCTTCTTCCAATGTGGTCTAGGGAAGCCAAAAGATTGGACACCCCTGCATAAATCAACATATTTATAAGGCACATTACAGTTACTTTGAGGATTCTCATTGAGACAGTTCCTCAAGGGACAATTATTATAAGAAGGCATAGGTGACAAATCACAAACACCAACAAAATTTACACAATGGATTTATTGACCATCTAGGCTGTGCAAGAGACACTTTCGTTTTAAGGCTTACTATATTGCAGGAAGCATATTACAACCACAAACTGAGTGCTCTTTAATGGTCAAAAATAAACCCCAAACTTACATCTTTGTTTCGTTTTAACCAGGTAGCTAAAAAGCAAAAATGAAAGTTTAGATAAATTTTTATTGTGGTAAAAGATACGTAACATAAAATATACCATTTTAACAATTTTTAAGTGTACAGTTCAGTGGCATTAATCGCATTCACATTGTAGTGCAACCATCACCACTCTCCATTGCCAGGACTTTTTTCATCTTTCTGAACTGAAACTCTAACTAATAAACAATAACTCCTCCTTCCCTCCACATTCTTGCCCCTAACAACGACCATTCTGCTTTCTGTCTGTGAATTTGCCTGACACAGGTACCTCATATAAGTGGAACTGTACAGTATTTGTCTTTTTATGACTAGTTTATTTCACTTAGCATAATGTCTTCAAGGTTCATCCATATGTAGCATGTATCAGAATTTTATTCCTTTTCAAGGCTAAATGATATTGCATTGTATGCATATACCACATTTTGTTTATCCGTTCATATACTGATGGATATGGGGTGTTTCCATCTTTTGGCTGTTGAGAATCAATCTGCAATAAACATTATCATACAAGTAGCTGAGTCCCCACTTCCAATTCTTTGGTTATATATGTAAGAATGGAATTGCTGGGTCATGTGGCAATTTTACACTTGACTTTTGAAGGAACCACACCAAACTGTTTTCCACAATGACTGCACCATTTTAAATGCCTGCTATCAATGTACAAAGGTTTCAATTTCTCTACATCCTTGTAAACATTTATTTTGTGTTTTTAAAATTATAGTCATCTTAGTAGCTGTAAAGTGGTGTCTCATTGTGGTTTTGATTGGCATTTTTATAATGATTAATAATGTTGAGATTAATGACCAATTATTTGCAAATCTTCTTTGGAGAAATGTCTATTCAGGTCCTTTCTCCTTCTTATGTATTGGGTTATATGTTTTGTATTTTTGTTGTTGAGTTCCGGGAGTTATTTATATATTCTGGATATTAATCCCATTCCAGATATATGATTTGCAAATATTTTCTCCCATTCTGTAGTTGTCTTTTACTGTCTTGATAATGTCCTTTGATATACAAATATTTTGATGAAGTCAAATTTATCTACTCTTTCTTTTGTTTCTTGTGCTTTTGGTGTCCTGAAAATCTACTACTGAACTCAAGATTATAACAGCTTATTCCTATGTTGTCTTCTAAGAGTTTTGTTTTAAGACTTTATTATTTTAGAGGAGTTTTAGGTTCACAGCAAAATTAGGTGGAAGATACAAAAATTTCCCATGTGCCTTTTATCCTACGTATGCACAGCCTCCCCCACTATCAAAATATCTCATGAGAGTGGTGCATACAATTAATGAACCTACCTTGACACACCATAATCACCCAAAGTTCGTAGTTTACCTTAGAATTCACACTTTGTGTTGTATATTCTACAGGTTTAAACAAATGTATCCATCATTGCAGTATTATACAGAATCTTTTCACTGCCCTAAAAAAATCTTCTGTGTATTCAAAGATTTTACGATCATTGATCCATGAGTTAACTTTTATATATGATGTGAGGTAAGGGTCCAACTTCATTCTCTTGCATATTGAAATCCAATTGTCTTTGCACTGTTTGTGGAAAAGACTATTACTTCCTCCCTTGAATGAACTTGGCATCTATGTCAAAAATAAATTGGCCATACTGGGCACGGTGGCTCATGCCTGTAATCCCAGCACTTTGGGAGGCTGAAGTGGGCAGATCATGAGGTCAGGAGATTGAGACCATCCTGGCTAACATGGTGAAACCCTGTCTCTACTAAAAATACAAAAAAATTAGCCAAGTGTGGTGGTGGGCGCCTGTAGTCTCAGCTACTTGGGAGGCTGAGGCAGGAGAATGGTGTGAACCCGGGAGGTGGAGCTTGCAGTGAGCTGAGATCATGCCACTGCACTCCAGCCTGGGTGACAGAGCAAGACTCCATCTCAAAAATAAATAAAATAATAAAATAAAATAAAATAAAATAAAATAAAATAAAATAAAATAAATTGGCCATAGATGTATGGGTTTATTTCTGGACTCTCATTCTATTACATTGGTTTATATGTTTATATCTAGGCCAGTACCACATTGTTTTGCTTTTTGTAACTTTGTAAGCTTTGAAATTAGGAAGTGTGACTCCTCCAAATTTGTTTTTCTTTTTAAAGATTGTTTTGACTATTCCAGGGCCCTTGCAATTGCCTATGAATTTGAGGATTGACTTTTTCATTTCTGCAGCAAAGGCTGCTGGAATTGTGAAAGCGATTTTATTGAATCTATGTATTGCTTCAGGTACTATTAACAGCTTAACAGTATTAAGTCTTCTAATCTGTGAACACAAAATGTCTTTCCATTTATTTCTTTAATTTCTTTCTTTAATTTCCTACAGCAAAGTTTTGTAGTTTTCACTGTACAATTCTTTCACCCACTTAGTTACATTTATCTCTAGGTGTTTATTCTTTTAGAAGTTGTTATAAATGGAATTGCTTTAATTTTCTTTTTTGATTGTTTATTGCTGGTATATAGGAACACAACTGAGTTTTTTGTGTTAATCTTGTAGCCTGTGATTTTGCTGGATTTGTATTCCTGTCGACTCTAGAATTTTCTATATATAGGATCATGTCCTCACAAATAGAGATAGTACTACTTTTTCCTTTTTCATTTGAATGCCTGTCCTTTCTTTTTCTTGTTTAATTTTTGTGGCTAGAACTTATAATGTTGAATAGAAGGAATGAAAGTGGGCATCCTTGTCTTGTTAGGAGGAAATCTAAAAAATCTTAAAGGAGAAAGCTTCACTATTGAGTATGCTGTTAGCTGTGGGTTTTTTATAATTGCTCTTTATCATATTTAGGCAGTTCCTTTCTATTTCCTAGTTTTCTGGGTTTAAAAAAATCATGAAAGGGGGTTGAAAATGCCTTTTCTGCATCAATTGAGATGAGCATGCATCTTTTCCCCTTGTTATATTAATTTAATTGATCTGTTACATTGATTATTTCAAAATTTTGAGCCACCTTTGCATCCTGGGGTAAATCCTACTGAGTCATGGTGTATAATTATTTTAATGTGTCATTTGATTTGGTTTGCTAGTATTTTGTTGAAGTTTTTGCATCTCTATTCATATGGGATATTGGTCTATACTTTTCTTCTGATGTCTTTTTCTAGTTTGACATCTGGGTTATGATGTCCTTATAATATGAGTTCCCATAAAAAGTATTCCCTCCTCTATTTCAAGGATGGGAGGAAGAGTTTATAGAGAATTGGTGTTAATTCTTTAAATGTTTAGTATAATTTACCAGTGAAGCCATCTGGTCTTGGACATATCTTTGTTAGGAGGTTTTGATTACTGATTCAATCTCCTGTTTTATATTTGTTGAGATTTTCTATTTCTTCATGAGTCACTTCAGGTAATTTGTGTGTTTCCAGAAATTCATCAATTTCATCTAGGTTATCTAATTTGTTGGCATACAGTTGTTCATAGTATTCTCTTATAATTTTTTATTTCTGTAAAATCTGTACTAATACCTCCACTTTCATTTCTTATTTTAGTTATATGTGTCTTCTCTCTTTTTGGTTTGCTGCTTTAGCTGAAGACTTGCCAATTTTGTGGCACTTTTTAACAAGCCAACATTTGGGTTTATTGATTCTTTTTTTTTTTTTTAAACGAAGACTCGCTCCTTCGCCAGGCTGGAGTGCAATGGCATGATCTCGGCTCACTGCAATCTCCACCTCCTGGGTTCAAGTGATTCTCCTGCCTCAGCCTCCCAAGTAGCTGGGACTACAGGTGTATGCCACCAAACGCAGCTAACTTTTATATTTTTAGTAGAGACGGGGTTTCACCATGTTGGCCAGGATGGTCTCGATCTTTTGACCTCGTGATCCACCCGCCTTGGCCTCCCAAAGTGCTGAGACTACAGGCGCAAGCCACCGCACCTGGCCTATTTTTTTCATTCTCAGCTATATTTATCTCCATTCTAATCTTTATTTCCTTCCTTCTAGCTTTACAGAAAGAAGTTTAGTTTTCTTCTTCTTTCTTTAGATCCTAAAGGTGTAAAGTTAGGTTTATTGATTTGAAATCTTTCTTCTTTTTAAAGGTAGGCATTGGCCAGGCACAGTGGCTCACACCAGTAATCCCAGCACTTTGGGAGGCTGAGGCTGGAGGATCACCTGAGGTCAGGAGTTCACGACCAGCCTGGCCAACATGGTGAAACCCCATCTCTACTAAAAATGCAAAAATTAGCTGGGCGTGGTGGCGTCCACCTGTGATCCCAGCTACTTAGGAGGCTAAGGCAGGAGAATTGCTTGAACCCAAGAGGCAGAGGTTGCAGTGAGCCGAGATCACACCTCTGCACTCCAGCCTGGGCGACAGAGTGAAACTCCGTCTCAAAACAAACAAACAAACAAATAAATAAAGGTAAGCATTTACAGCTGTAGATTTCCTTTTAAGCATTGCTTTTGTTGCATTCATAAGTTTTTGTATGTAATACTTAAGTTTTTAATCATCTCAGTGTATTTGCTAATTTCCCTTGTGATTATTTCATTGATCATTGGTTGTTTAAAAGCATGTAATTTAATGTCCACATATTTGTGACTTTTCCATTTTTCCTTCTGTTCCTGGTTTCTGTTCCTGGTTGAAGGACATACTTTGTATACTTTCTTTTAAAATTTGTTGAAACTTGTTTTGACTCAACATATGATCCATCCTGGAAAATGTTCCACCAACATTTGGGAAGAATCGTATTCTGTTTATGTTGGGTGGAATGTTGTGTACATGTCGATTAGATCTAATTGTTTATTATGTTGTTCAAGTTCTCTGTTTCTTTACTTATCTTTTGCCAAGTTGTTCTATCTATTACTGAAAGTGGGTATTAAAATCTCCAACTGTTATTGTAGAACTCTGTCTCCCTTCAATTCCACTAGTTTGCTTCATATATTTTGAGGCTCTGTTTTATGCATATATGTTTATCATTGTTATATCTTTTTAAATGAATTTATGCCTACACTTTTCCCAACACAAGTCTTGCTATATAACATTTTCATCTCTGCTAATGTTCTTGGTTCTTGAATTTTCATTATGATGAGTGCAACTGAGCCTCTTTTCACATGTTAAAAAGTCATTTTTTTCCTTTTGCTATAAACTTAAGGCTCATAGCCTTAGCTCATTTTTTATTTTAAAATTATTGTTACACATAACAATTATTTTATGCTATTGTTATAATAACATAATTATGTTATCTTAATTTACTAGAAAAGTTACTTCTTAATTCCAATCTACTTTGTAAATATTCATTTCCTAGTATGCCATTTGTTCCTTGACTTGTTCATAATGGCTTTTTCCATGCAGAAATACTTGACTTTCATGTATCTGAATTTATAAAAGTGTTCTGAGTTTTGTATAATAGCTGATGATTCTTCATTCAAAGGGTGTTTGAAACATTTTCCTTAAATGATTTTAGTACTTTTCTTATTTCTTTTTTCATTTTTTTTTTTACCTATTATTAATTTCTTCAGAATGTATGCTGATACAAAGTGTAAGGGAGGGATCTATATTTACTCACCTTTCTGGGTGGCTTTCTAGTTATCCCAAACTATATAGTAACAAGTATATTGAATTAGCTTTGGTGTGATCTAATTGTGAAAACAATGTGTTGTATCTGCTGAAGCCAACTTCCACTGATCAGAGAATTTTCTAATGTAAAACAGTGCAGCTGTGTCCCATATTTTGTTACCAAATCTGTCCTTAGTAGAAAAGACATCTAAGGATTCCTAGGTCAGCCAGGTAGATAATTTGTCAACAAGTCAATATTCCTGCTTATTCCATTCTAACCTTCTGTTCCAGGTTAGGAAATGGGCTTGCTATAACCTGGACTCTATCTGCACTTCATTTCAATGATTGTATCTTTTTACAGCTTTCAGTGGGCCACTGCCTTGAAAACCTTTTAGGTGCCATTAGGTTTGCTTTTTTTTTTTTTTATGAATGAGGAATGCAGCCCTATTGTAATCTGCTGTGATACCACCCCAAGATCAACCATTGTATCTCTGACAGAGTTGTATCTCTGACTGTTTTCTATTCCTATTATGATGTGCTACCCATCTAGAAGAAAATATTTATAAATCACATACCTGATAAATAACTTTTATCGGCTATATATATAGAGAACTCTTAAAGTCCAAGTGTAAGAAAGCAAACAACCATTAAAAATGGTAAGTTTTTACAGACATTTGAACAAAGACAATCATATGAATGGCAAATAAGCACAGAAAAAGATATGCAACATTATATGTCATTAGGGAATAAGACATCACTTGATACTAATTAAGATATCTCAAATTACAGATGATGACCAAGCCAAGTATTGGTGAGGATGTAGAATAGCTGGAACCCTCCTTAATTGGTGGAGGGAATATAAGCTAAACATAGTCAAATACAAACCTGCTACATGATCCAGGCATTGAACTTCTAGTTATTTACCTAGAGAAACAAAAGCATAAAATATGTACATAAATATATATGGCAACTTTATGTGTAATCACCATAAATTAGAAACTACTTAAATGTCCATTAACAACTGCATGGATAAATAAATTGTAGTATATTCAAACACATACAAAGGAGTATTCACACTGCTCAACCATAAAAATGAATTAAGTATTAATACATGCAGCAATATGAATAAATCTCAAAATAACTATGCTGAGTAAAAGCAGGCAGACAAAAAGAGTGAACAAAGTACATTATTCCATTTATATAAACTCCAGAAAATACAAACTACTCAAGAGTTGGTATGGAGTCAGCTGGGCACAGTGGCTCACACCAGTAATCCCAGCACTTTGGGAGGCCCAGGTGGATGGATCACTTGACCTTAGGAGTTCCAGACCAGCCTGGGCAACATGGTGAAAGCCCGTCTCTACTAAGAATACCAAAAAAAATTAGCTACACATGATGGCACATGCCTGTAATCCCATCTACTTGGGTGGCTGAGGCAGGAGAATTGCTTGAACCCAGGAGACAGAGGCTGCAGTGCCTGGAGACTGCGTCATTGTACTCCAGCCTGGGCAGCAGAGTGAGATCCTGTCTCAAAAAAAAAAAAAAAAAGAGTTGGTACTGAGTCTATATGCAATGGGGGAGCCACTGGAGGGTGTTGCCCATGGTGCTATGTTTTAGGGCTCTCTGGAATTAAATGTAAAACTGCATTCATAAACTGATATTTCTGGGGAAAAAATTTCAAAATATCACTCCTTGGGAAGGCTAGAATGAACTCTGTGGTACTGGTGGTACCGTATTAGAGTTGGAGACATAAGTATGAACTCAGGTTAGCTTAATATAGATGGACAGATACAGAATAATTATAGCCGTGTGTGTCCATGAGTTAGTATACAATTTACATCCTAGGTCTGCCCATTGAGAGGGCCTTGAGTCAGTGAGCCCCCAGTGGCAATGGGCATACCCAGTGCCAAGGTCTTAATTTCTAATCATTCTTCAACAAAAGGAGCCAGGGTTCCTTGGAGAAATCGCTGACTATGGGACTGACAGGGAAAATACAAGATAGACCCGGAGTGTCTTGCAGTGCCAGCAAGAAAAGAAATAAAGCAATTGGGATGTGAACAAGTGACACAGGAGCCAACTTGGAAGAGCTCCCGACAGCCAAAGCTGAAACCATGTGAACAAGAAAATAGAGAACATACTATTGAATTATAACCCAAAGTGTAAAATAAACATCGTGAGTCCATACTAACATAAACTGCATAAACAAATAAATATGCACAATTCCTCAGGGATCTAGAACTAGAAATACCATTTGACCCAGCCATCACATTACTGGGTATATACCCAAAGGACTATAAATCATGCTGCTATAAAGACACATGCACACGTATGTTTATTGCGGCACTACTCACAATAGCAAAGACTTGGAACCAACCCAAATGTCCAACAACGATAGACTGGATTAAGAAAATGTGGCACATATACACCATGGAATACTATGCAGCCATAAAAAATGATGAGTTCATGTCCTTTGTAGGGACATGGATGAAATTGGAAATCATCATTCTCAGTAAACTATCGCAAGGACAAAAAACCAAACACCGCATGTTCTCACTCATAGATGGGAATTGAACAATGAGAACACATGGACACAGGAAGGGGAACATCACACTCTGGGGACTGTTGTGGGGTGGGGGAAGGGGAAAGGGATAGCATTAGGAGATATACCTAATGCTAAATGACGAGTTAATGAGTGCAGCACACCAGCATGGCACATGTATACATATGTAACTAACCTG
Source organism: Homo sapiens (assembly GCF_000001405.40). NCBI lineage: Eukaryota > Metazoa > Chordata > Mammalia > Primates > Hominidae > Homo > Homo sapiens. The sequence continues at coordinate 268,348 of NC_000006.12, forward strand.
CACATTGTGCACATGTACCCTAAAACTTAAAGTATAATAATAATAAAAGAAAACAAATAAATATGTAAATAGACAAGAACAGACAAATCTTTCACATGGAAGGATTACAAATAATTTATGTAATACCTTGCTCCCCAGGAGATGCGCTTAGTCCTCCCTCCCCGCCTCTGCCAGCTCATGCATGTGGGGCTTTGCTGGATGACTTGCTTCTAAAGAGTAGAGAATGCCACATTTTGTTTCCCCATTTATTCATCAATGTGCCTTTGGGTTATTCTTATTCTTGACTAATTTTGAGTAATACTGCTATGAACATGGTTATAAAAATATCTGTTTGTGTCGTTGCTTCCAATTCTTTTGTGTATCTCTGCAGAAGTAGAATTTCTGGATCATGTGGTAATGTTATGTGTAATTTTTTTGAGGAACTGCCATGCTGTTTCTCACAGCGGCTGCATCATTTTATATTCCCACCGGCAATGCACAAGAATTCCATTTCTCTGCATCCTTGTCAACACTTGTTTTTGTTTTCTATTGCTTTTATATTTTTTATAATAGCCATCATAATGAGTGGGAAGTAGTGCTTCTTTGTGGTTTTCACGTGAAATTCTCTAATAATTAGTGATGTTGAGCATCTTTTTATGTGCTTATCAGCCATCTGCATATCTTCTTTGGAGAAATGTCTGTTCAAGTCCTTTGCTCATTTTAAAATTGGGTTGTGTGATTTTTGTTATTGTTCTTTATATAGTCTGGGTATTAAACCCCATTAGATATGCAAATATTTTCTCTCATTAAATGGGTTGCCCTTTTAACTGTGGTTATAGTGTTTTCTGGGCAAAAATTTTTTAATTTTGATAAAGTACAATTTGTCTATTTTTTTCTTTTGTTGCCCATGATTTTGGTGTCATATCTAAGAAATATTTACCAAATCCAATGTCATGAAATCCTTCCCCTATGTTTTCTGAATTTTATAGTTTCAGCTTTTATGTTTAGGTCTTTGATTCATTTAGAGTTAATTTTTGCACATGGTGTTAGGTAAGGGTGCAACTTCATTTTTTTTAAATATGGATGTTCAGGTTCCCAACACCATTTGTTGAAAATATTTATTTTCCCCTTGAATGCTTTTGGCATCCATGACAAAAATCATACATCCATATGTGTGAGGGTTTGTTTCTGGGCCTTCTATTATAATCCATGGGTCTATATGTCGGTTTTTATGTCACTACCACATTGTATTGATTACCCGTAGCTTTGTAGTAAGTTTTGAAATCACGAAGTGTGAATGCTCCAACTTGATATTTCTTTTTTTAAGATTTTCGTTGACTATTCAGGGTCCCTTAAGTTCTGTATGAATTGTAGGAGTTTTCTATTTGTCAACATAAAACAATGTTAGGATTTTGATAGAGATATCATTCAATCTGTGGATTATCACTTGGGGGTAGTATTGATATCTTAACAATATTAAGTCACAATCCGTAAATATGGGATGTCTTTCCATTTATTTATCCCTAATTTCTTTTCAACAAAGTTTTCTAGTTTTTGGTGTACACATCTTTCACCTCCTTGGTTAATTCCTAAAGATTTTATTCTTTTAAGCGCTATTATAAATGGAATTTTTTAAATATTAATTTTGAATTGTTCATTGTAAGTGTACAGAAAAGCAAATAATTTTGTGGTTGATTTTGCATTCTGCAACTTTACTGAATTTTTATATTAGTTGTGTGTGTGTGTGTGTGTGTGTATAATCTTTCAGGTTTTATATAAGATCATGTCATCTACAAACAGAAAGATTTTACCTATTCCTCTCCAAATTAAATGCTTTTTATTTCTTTTTTCTTGCCTAAGTTCTGTGGCTATGCTATGGACTAAGTGTTGTGTCCTCCCCAAATGTATTTGTTGAGGCCCTAGTCTGAATTGAGATGGTAATTAGAGGTGTTGTTTATCCATGAAAAAGAGTTAAGAGTTAAATTTTGTCAAATGCTTTTTCTGCATCAATGGAAATTATTGATGAAGAAGAAGAGAACTTACTTCTATTCTCTATTTCCTTCATTCTGTTAATGTCGTGTATTACATGATTGATTGCCATATGTTGAAGCATCTTTGCATTGCAGGACAAAAGTCCATTTGCTCACTGTATATGATCCTTGTAATATGCTGCTGAATTTGGTTTGGTAGTATTTTCTTGATGATTTTTACCTCAATATTTATAATGGATATTCATCTATAGTTTTTTGTCACATTCTTCCCTGGTTTTGGTATCAGAGCAATGCTGTCCTCTGAATAACTTAGGAAGTGTTTCTTGCTCCTGAATTTTTTGAAGAGTCAGGAAAGGATTGGTATTTTTTTCTCCTTTTAATATTTGGTAGAATGTATCAGTAAAGCCATCTGGTCCTGGGCTTTTCTTTGATTGGAAGTTATTTATTTATTTATTTATTTATTTAACTTTTTTATTATTGATTCAATCTTCTCACAAGTTATAGATCTACTAAAATGTTTTCTTTCTTTCTTTTTTTTTTTTTTTTTGAGACAGAGTCTTGCTCTGTTGCTCAGGCTGGAGTGCAGTGGCACGATCTCGGCTCACTGCAACCTCCGCCTCCCAGGGTCAAGCAATTTTCCTGCTTCAGCCTCCTGAGTAGCTGGGATTACAGGCATGTGCCACCACGCCTGGCTAATTTTTGTATTTTTAGTAGAGACAAGGGTTCACCATATTGGCCAGGCTGGTCTTGAACTCCTGACCTGAGGTGATCCGCCCACCTCGGCCTCCCAGAAATTGTTTTATTTCTTTATGACTCAGTCTTGGTAGATTTTGTGTCTCTAGAATTTTGGCCATTTTGTCTAGGTTAGCTAATTTATTGGTGTACAATTATTCATGGTACTCTCTTATATTCCTTCATATTTATGAAAAATTGGTAGTAATGTCTCCACTTTCATTTCTGATTTTAGTAATCTGAGTCGTCTCTCTTTTTTTCTTAGTCAATCTTGCTAAAGTTTCTCAATTTTGTTGATCTTTTTGAAGAACCAACTTTTGGCTTCACTGAGTTTCTCTATTGTTTTTCTATTCTCTATTTCATTTATCTCTGCTCTAATCTTTATGATTTCCTTCCTTCTGCAGCTTTGGGGTTAGTTTGTTCTTCTTTTTCAAGTTCCTTAAAGTATAAATTTAGGTTGTTGATTTGAGATCTTTCTTCTTTTTTAATGTAAGCATTTACAGCTTTAAATTTCCCTCTTAGCAGTGTTTTCACTGCATCCTATAAATTTGGGTATATTGTTTTAATTTTCACTTATTTATAAGTAACTTCTAATTTCCCTTGTGATATCTTCTTTGATCCATTGATTGCATAAGAAAATGTTGTTTAATTATCATATATAGTGAATTTTTCAGTTTTCTCTTTTTGTTAATTGATTTCTAACTTCAACTTGCTATATTCGGAGAAGACACTTTTATAAAAATAATATCAATCTTTTAAAAATGTATAGACACTAGTTTTGTAGCATAACATATGTTCGATCCTAGAGAATGTCCCATCTGCATTTGAGAAGAATATGTATTCTGTTTTTGTGGGGTGGGACGTTTTATACATGTCTGTTGGATGTAGTTGGTTTATTGTGTTCTTCTAGTCCTCTATTTCCTTGCTTATTTTCTGTCTGCTTGTTCTATTGATTATGGAAGTCTGCAACTATCATTGTAGAACAGTCCACTTCTTTCTTCACTTCTGTCCATTTTTGCTTCATGTATTTCGTGGGTCTGTTATTAGGTGTGTAAATGTTTATGACTGTTATATCACCTTGCTATATTAAAACTTTTATTACTATCTAATATCATTCCTTGTCTCTTTTCAACTTTTTTTTAAACTTAACTCTATTTTGTATAATATTTCTATCCCTTCCCCAGCTCTCTTTTGGTTACTATTTGCATGAAATATCTTCTGTCATCCTTTTACTTTCAACCTTTTTGTGTCTTTGGATCTAAAATGAGTCTCTTGTAGACAGCACATAGTTGAATTATTTTTAAAAATTTATTCATCAATCTCTGTCTTTTCGTTTGATAATTTAATTCATTTATACTTAAAATATTCACTAGTAAGGAGAAACTTATTTCTGCCATTTTGCTATTTGTTTTCCATTTTGCCTTTTGTTTTCATCTTTCACATTACTGTCTTACTTTGTTTGAGTTTTTGTAGTGAAACATTTTAATTGCTTTCTCATTTCTTTTGGTATATATGTTATAGCTATTTTCTTTGTGGTTTCCATGGGAATTACATTTAACACCTCCATTTATAACAGTCTAATTTGAACTTACACAAGCTTACAGCTCTGTCTGTACCTTTTAATTGTTGATGTCATAAATTATACATGATCAAAAACAATGACTAATCATTGTTTCTCTATGTATTTGTCTTTTAACTCATAGAAAATAAAAGGGGAGTTACAACACAAAATTACAATTATATTAACTTCTATAATTACCCATGTAAATCCTCTATTGGCTATCTTTATTTCGTCATATGGCTTTGAGTTTCTTTCTAGCATCCTTTCATTTCAACCTGAAAATCTTCCTTTAGCATTTTTTACATTTATAGCCACTATGTATTTAAATCACTTTCTTTCTCTTTTCTTCTTCTTGAACTGACACAATGAATATGTTTGTCTCCTTGACAGTGTCCCATGGGTCCCCTGGACTCTGTTCACTTTTCTTCAGTCTTTTTCTGTTTCTCTGACTCAGTAATTTCCATTGTCCCATCTTCAAGTCTGCTGATTCTTTCTTCTGCCTGCTCAAATCTGCTTTTGAAACTAAAGAGTTTCAAAACTTCACCAAAGTGAATTTTATATTTGTTATTGTACTTTTCAACTCCAGAATTTCTGTTTTCTGTCTTTACTGATATATATATACATATATATATATTTAGAACATATATGTAAAATATATATGTGCTTAATACATTCTATTATCATAATAATAATTATTTTTACTATTCAACAAATATGAAGAACATTTAAAGAGGATATTTCAAGTATTTTCAATGGGATGATTCATTATTCTGAATTGTCAAGACTATTTTATTTTACATATATATGTAAAATATATATATATTCTATACTGGGGATCAGCCTGAGATGTAAACTTAAGGTTACCTCAGGTCTTTTCTGAGTCTGTATCTTTCCCTAGACATGCATACTGACTTTCCAAATTTCCTCATATAAGCAATTTCTTTTGAATGTCCTAATCCTTAAATCTCAGCCAAGCCTCTTTCTGGAAGCTAGACATCTTCAAATAGACTCCAGAGTTCCAAAACTCATTACATCAGTCAGGTTCTGGCAATACCACTGTTGACTAGGCAGAGAGAACAATTCTTGGAGCTTCCTACTTGGCCATCTTCCTTGACATCCCTCTGTAGGTATGTGTGCATATATATATGCACACTGAAACTAAAGATGAGTCCTTAAAAGTGGAAGACAATGAAAGTAGAGTGGGTCAGAGTGACGCAATGTGTGAAGGATTCAAGCCACTGTTGTTTGAAGATGGAGTAAAGGGGCCATGAGCCAAGGAATCCTGTGACCTCTGGCCTCAATTTACAGCAACAAGAAAACATGGACCTATGTTCTACAGCTGCAAGGAACTGAATTCTTCCAACAAATCGTGTGGGGAGGAAACATTCTCCCCTGCAGTCTCCAGAAAGGAATGCAGTGTGCTGAAACTTTGATTTTAGTCCAGCAAAACCCATGTCTGGTTTCTTTTTTGTTTGTTTTTTGTTTTTTGAGACAGAGTCTCACTCTGTCACCCAGACTGGAGTGCAGTAGTGCAATCTCGGCTCACTGCAACCTCTGCCTCTGAGTTCAAGTGATTCTCCTGCCTCAGCCTCCCAAGTAGGTGGGATTACAGGTATGCACCGTCACACACAGCTAATTTTGTATTTTCAGTAGAGATGGGGTTTCACCACTTTTGGCCAGGCTGGTCTCAAACTCCTGACCTCAGGTTATATGCCTGAGTTGGCCTCCCAAAGTGCTGGAATTACAGTTGTGAGACACTGCACCCAGCCCATGTCTGACTTCTGACAGATGTTACAGATGTTACAGCTACAGAACAGTAAGCTAATAAATTTGTGTTGTTTTACACCATTAAAATTGTGGTAATTTGTTAGAGCAGCAATAGAAAACTAATACATACATCCAGTATTATTCCAGTAAATTCAATTTCTTTCTGCTAGAACCAAAAGAATCTTTGGTTATTTAAGAATTTAAGATTAAACCCATATATTCTCTGAATTAGAAAGAAAATGTGTTTTCCTAAAACCTGTGATATGTGCCTAGATATGCTCAGTGTTATCTTTCCTTTGTCAGTCCATACTCTACGAAGACAAAGACATTTCTACGCTGTTATTGATTTTTCTTCAGAATTAGATCTGAAGTTTTGTTTTGTGTTGTTATTGTTGTCGCTTCCTCTACCAACTTGGATAAACTCAACCAAGCAAAGACAAATAGTTAGCAGTTGTTCTTCTTTTAGCAGAATTAGAATTATAGCAGTTAAGAAATACAGGTATATGAAATAAAAACAAAAAGTTCTAACCTGTGATTCAGTAGAATCTATGGGAACTTTAATGATGCTATTAAAAATTAAAATAACTTTATTATTTGTTTTAAAAGTAACGATTAGGATTTCAGGTAGGGTTGTTCTGTGATTATCTCTAATGAAATCCAACATAGTGAATGAGTGTGCACAGAAAATATGGAGGGAGTTCATGTGGTAGAGTAGTAGTTAGGTGTTTGCCTCTGAAGCCGCACTACTGGGTGAAAATACCACTCCTTCCACTTACTTAGCACATAATTCTGAAGGCTTACCCTCTCTTCAGTTTTTGAGCCATTGAAATGAGGATGAATACAGTACTGATTTATAGAACCGTAAGTATTAAATGAGTTCATATATTTAAATTACTTAGATGAGTTCTGGCCCATAGAAAATGCCTAATGCATTCCATTGTTATCATAATAATAATTATTATTGCTATTCAATAAATACGAAGAACATTTAAAGTAGATATTTCAAGTATTTTCAATGGGCTGATTCGTTATTCTGAATTGTCAAGACTATTTCATTTTACCTTCAGATATCAGGTAACGTCGTTGCCAAAACAGTTGACTTCTTATTGGTTAGGATGCTTTCCGCTGCAACATAAAACTCAACTAAATGTGACTTAAACCATAAGGATATTTATTATTTACCTGACAATTACAGTTGCTTTGCCTTTCCATATACATTTTAGAACAAGCTTATTGATTTCTACAAATAATCCTTCAGGGATTATAACTGGGATAGCACTGAATCCATAGATCAACTTGGGGGAAAACTGGCACTTTAGAAATATTGAGTCTTTCAGTCCATGGACATGGCACACATGGTATACATCCATTTATTCAGATCTTTGATTTCGCATCTCAGTGTTTTATTATTTTCAAACACACAGACCTCATATAAACTCTATTAGGTTTATATCTAAGTATTTTCTGTTTATTGGTACAATTGTAAATAACACAGTTTTTAAAATTTCAATTATTACTTTTTATTGGTATTATATAATAAAACTATTGATATTTTAGTATTGACCTTGTATCCTCTGGTCTTATTAAATTCATTTGCTAGTTCTAGCCATTTTTGTATGTTATTTGAGATTTTCTACTTAGATAATCATGTCATATGCAAATAGAGATAGTTTTATCTCTTTCTTTCAATGTGTATTCTCTTCCCCACCTCACTTTAGTGTTTTGGCTAGGATCTCTAATATGAGGTTGAATAGGGTTGGTGAAAGTGGGCATCCCTTCTTGTTCCTGATCATAAGGGGAAAACATTTAGTTTCTCACCATTAAGTATGATGTTGGCAAATTTTTGGTAGATGCTCACTTGGAGGAAGTTCCCTCATATTCCTAGTTTGCTGAGAGTTTTTATCAAAAATGGATTTTGGATTCTGTCAAATGGTTTTTCTGAATCTCATCAAATTATAATTTATTTTCTTTATTGATATGGTGAATTACATTGTTTAATTTTCTAATATTTGAACGAGCATTGCATTCATGGAATAAATTCCACTTGGTCATGATTTATTATATTTTTATATATCGTTTATTTGACTTGCTAATCCTTTGTTGAAGATTTTTGCACCTATATCCATGACGGGAATTGGCCTGTAGATTTCTCTTCTTGTATTGTTTTCATCTGGTTTTGGTGCCAACGCAATGCTAACTTCACAGAACGAATGGATAAGTGTTCTCTCTCAATTATCTGAAAGCTTTGAAAAGGAATAAAATTCTGATACATGAGTGAACCTTGAAAACATTACGCTAAGTGGAAGAAAATTCTTACGCTAAGTTTGTGTAAAATTGGCACTATTTCTTTCTTAAATGTTTGGTAAATCTGCCAGTGAAGCTATCTGAGCCTGGAGATTTTTATGAACTCTTTTAAAAATGTTATTTTAAAAATTGTAAAACATATATGTAATATAATATAAAATTTGCCATTTTAACTATGTTTTTATTTTTATTTTTTTGAGACGGAGTCTCGCTTTGTCGCCCAGGCTGGAGTGCAGTGGCGTGATCTCAGCTCACTGCAACTTCCACCTCCTGGGTTCAAGCGATTCTCCCGCCTCAGCCTCCCAAGTAGCTGGGATTACAGGCGCCCGCCACCATACCCAGCTAATTTTTGTATTTTTAGTAGAGATGGGGTTTCACCATGTTGGCCAGGCTGGTCTCAAACTCCTGACCTCAAATGACCCACCTGCTTCAGCCTCCCAAAGTGCTGGGATTACAGGTGTGAGTCACAGCACCCAGCCCATTTCACCTACTTATAGATGTCCAATTCGGTGGCACCAAGTACATTCACAGCACATGCAACCATAAGCACCACCCATTTCTATAACTTTTTATCACCCCAAATAATAATTCCTCACTTTTACCTCCCCCAGGCTCCTGGTAACCTCTATTCTACTTTTGTCTATATGAGTTTGACAACTCTTGGTACCTCTTGGATAATTACTGTGGAATTATACACTAATTATCCTTTTGTTCTAGCTTATTTTACTTAGCATAATGTTTTCAAGATTCATTTAAGTATCAGAACTTCATTACTTTTTAAAGCTGAATTAATATTCCATTGCATGTATAAGCCATGTTTTGTCTATCCATTCATCTGCTGATAGACATTTGGATTGCTTCCATCTTTTTCTCCCAGGAAATTTGGCCTGCGGTATCTTTTTGAGTTCCTACCTTCAGTTTTGCTGTGATATACTGAGGTGTATAGTATCTATCCCTGGAAATAGTTATAACTCTTCTTCTAGGTAGTTTATTTGGGAACCTGACTCAATCTGGTCAGGAGTTGAGTTGAACTGGATTCTTCTGGTAGTTTATTTGGGAGCCTGACTCAATCTGGTCAGGAGTTGAGTTGAACTGGACTTCTGTTGCTGCTCTGGTTCACTTCAGTGCACCACTGGCTTCCGTGGTCTCTGGTGTTACATTGTGCTTAGGATGGCTGCTCAGGTCCTGGAGAGTTTTCCTCAATGTTCCTTCTTCATCCTCAGCTTTGGCCTCCTTGGTACTCTTGCACCACAGACATTCTCTCTCTCTGTGCTCTTGCCATCTCCCAGTGGTAGGCTGCTTCTTCTTACTTGCTATGAACAATCGTTGTGGTGGGAAGCAGGAGAATTCTTTGTTGTCCTGGTCTAGCCTCAGCCTCAGGCAGGCCCTGTGTGTCTGGGACTTCAGGGTTGGGGTTTCTGCTCCTTCCCTTGGAGCTGAATTCTCCTGCATATCTTTGGCAGAGCTTGTGTCCCTAGGGTTGTCAGGGAAAATACAGGATTCCCATTTAAATTTAAATTTCATGTAAACAATGAAGAGTTTGTTAACATCACTATGTCACAAATATTGGAATATACTTATAGTAAAAATTATTTATTGTTCTATGAAATTCAAATTTAATGGTATTTTTATTTGCTAAATCTGGTAACCCTAGATGTTTGGTGTTTTCTACCCTCCCCCAGTACCCCAGTAGTAGGAGGCCCATTAGGGCTCTGGGACCAGGATTGTTTTCTTATCTTCCCCAAAGTTTAGAGGGTTTCTTGAAAAAATTTCTTCCTCAAACATAGGCATGTTCACCTGTGCCCTGGGACTGAATGTTTCCTGCTCCTCAAAGTGAATTAAAGCTTTAGTTCCACAGAAGAGAGGGTCTGGGTGGGACTCACGAGTGTCCCGCAGTGACAGAGCTTTCCCAGTCTACGTCTGCACCACCTTGAGGCTCCTTCTAATCCTCCAACCGCAGCCCTGAAATCTCTCTCATAAGAATCTGGTGGAAGGCTGTGGGCAGAGCCTGGAGGTGGCTCTCAAGAGAATTTGGTGGAAGTCTGTGGAGGAAGATCCTGGATGTGGCTCTCGTAAGAATTTGGTGGAAGGCTGTGGGGAGAGCCTGGAAGTGGCCTCTCATGAGAATCTGGTGGAAGGCTGTGGGGAGAGCCTGGAAGTGGCTTTCTCTCATACTAGCTCATTGTTGTTCTCTAGAAATCTGTCTTGAAGGTTTATCTTCTTATCTACTTGCACGGTAGCTGGGATTCTGTTTCTCCCATTTACCACTGGTGGACAAATGCTCAAATCCTTTCTACCCTCGGAAAGAATTGTCTTTTTTTTGGATTTGGAACTATTTGGTTACCCTATGACCTCAGGTATTTGATGCGCTCAGGAAAAGTTACAATTCTATGGTATATCTAGTTTTTACTTGTTAGAGTGGGGGCAGTACTCCTGCCATTCTGTATATTTTCAACTCCTCATCTGTCTTTCTTTATGAGTAGAAATCTCAGTAAGGACATAATAAAACAGAGCTTTAAATGTATGCATTAGAATCTTCTTTAATTGGTCTTGCAAAGCACATAGGTTCCTCTGTTGTAATAAATAATAAAGACAGTGCCTTATCTTTATTATTCTCTAAATATATGTTAGGGACATTATTTGACCAACAGTATAACTGCATGGATGTTATTGCAAAGAACTTTCAGGAGGACTGAGAGCCATCTCTCGATGAGGCTGTCTCTCTTTCATACCGTTTCATTCCTAAGGCTATCTGCTGAGCACAGCTGGGGTTGTCAGAACTACCAAACTACTGGAAATGAGGTGCATGATAAAATAAATTATTTCAAATTAAGATCTCATAAAACCATCTTTGAGGTTACTTATTTAGCATACATTGACTTTTAAAAATTATCTCTACAATTCAGGACATCGCATAGTTCACTTCCTCAATATCCGTTGCCTATTTAAGCTGACAAATTTGAAATGATAGATTAGAAAGAGGCCTACTGCATGACATGTATAATTCACTCTTCCAGTCAAATTTAAGAGTCCTTGCCTTCATCTGGCCTTTACGCCCAGCATTACCTTCCACTGCTGACAACAGGACTGGAAGTGGCTCTCAGTGAGGCTGTCTGTGAGGCCGGAGGCTGGAAGTTCAAGAGGCAGGTGTAGGCAGAGTGTGTTTCCTCTGAGGCCTCTCTCCTTGGCTCATTCTCCCTGTGTTCTCACATGGGCTTCCCTCTGTGTCTCTGTGTCCCCACCTCTTCTTCTTGTAAGGACATTAGTCGGATTGGATCCAGGCCACCCTGATGGCCTCATTTGACCTGACTTACCAGAAGTAGCCATCATCGTCATATAGGTGTTCAGGTGGGAACCTCAGTATCTACCAAGTCCATTTTGCTTTTGCACTCAGCACTCCATCTTTTTTTTTTTTTTTTTTTTTTTTTTGAGACAGAGTCTCGCTCCATTGCCCAGGCTGGAGTGTAGTGGTGCGATCTTGGCTCACTGCAAGCTCCGCCTCCTGGGTTCACACCATTCTCCTGCCTCAGCCTCCCAAGTAGCTGGGACAACAGGCGCCCAACACTACGCCTGGCTAATTTTTTGTATTTTTAGTAGAGACAGGGTTTCACCATGTTAGCCAGGATGGTCTTGATCTCCTGACCTCGTGATCCACCCGCCTCAGCCTCCTAAAGTGCTGGGATTACAGGTGTGAGCCGCCGTGCCAGGCCTTGGCACTCCATCCTCTTTAGCCACCCTTTGTTTCAGTTTTGTGACTCCACCATCAGCTCTTCCTCGAAGACTCTGTCTTATTCATCTTTCACTCTTACCTTTTTATCTTCCAATGCTTATTTAAGTATTTTTTGCAAAATTAGAATTCAGCTGCTTATTTTAAAATTATTAAAGTAACATGCTTATAGCGATGACCTACTCATGGTGGCATGTGCTTTCACTGCTCCCAAAGGTGGAACAAATAATCATTTTTAGAGCAATCAAAATCTTGTGATTTTGCTGTAAGACACTTAACAAAATTTAAGTTGTTGTTGGGTTTGCTGTTTTTTCTCATGGAATTTGGCTCTGTCTTTTCTGCTTGGGTAACCCAGAGGCACCTGAAACTCAGGTGTCTGGGCAGCAATCATCATTTTCTCACTTAACAGGTTCCTCCTCCTCTGCTCCCAGCCTTTGGGAAGGGCACCGCCATCCATGAAGTTCCCTAAGCCAGGAACCCAGAGTTACCCTTTGCGTCTTCCTCCTCCCCATTTCCCAAATCCAGTGAGTTTCAAGTCCTGCACATCTTGCAGTCTGTGGCTTCCTCCACCAGCACCCTTCAGTCCCCCTTCCCCAAGGCCCATCTTTGGTTAAGGTCCTCATTATTTTTTACCTGGCTTTCTGTAAAGGTCTTCTAACTGATCTCCCCGCCTTCAGTCTTACTTGCTAGAATATGACATCCTCTAAACTGCTCTCAAGATGTTCAATCTAAAATCTGAATCCCAGGAAGGCTTCCCAAGCTCCCTGGGAGGAGTATCAGCTTCTGGCAAGGCAGGAGAGGATGATCGTCATCTGTCCCTGCCTCCCTTCCGCTCGCTTCCTGCCTCTCCCCATGCTGCACTCTGTAGGCCCACCTTGGTGTACCACCTTGGGTCCCCAAAGGTGCCCATCTCTCTCGCCACCACGCCTCTGAGTCTGCAACACCCTGCTCCGGAACTGCCCTTCACCCAGGCTTCCTCCTCTGGCTGAGGGATTTTTCCTCTTGGGATGCAGCCTGGACTGGTGGCTCTGGAGCCAGGCAGGCCTGAGTGTGGATCCCGGCTTAGCCATTTGCTCAGCCTCCCTGAGTCTAACGTTCCTATCTGTAAAAAGGAGAAAATAATACCAACCTTCCAGTATTTCTAGGAGGAATTAGAAGTAGTAATAAATATCAATATGTGGTAAAAATGACACAGATACCTCTTATTGTAGGACAAGTAGGATTCTAAGTGCTTTACTCATATTAACTCATTTGTTATTCCAGACTCCATTCACGATTCACCTCCTCCATGCAGCCTGTCTTGATTTCTCAATACCTGACTGGATGCCTTTGCAGATTATTTTTTCCCTCCCTGTTTATGTTCCCTCTCTCTTTGCCCCACAGGTGTCCTGGGAGCTTGGCACATATGGAACACATCAGTTGGACTCCTTTGCTGGCTTCCGGGTGGGTCTGGCGTTTGGAAAAGGTTGAGAAAGGCCAGGGCGTTTCTTCCCCATGCTGTCCATGATCAAGCTGTATCTGTGGCAGCAGGTGTGTCTCTCCCTGCATTAGTTTGTGAGGCACTACAGACTCAGTGGCATAAACAACAGTTATTTACTCACAGTCTGTGAGGCTGGAGGCTGGAAATTCAAGAGGCAGGTGTAGGCAGAGTGCGTTTCCTCTGAGGCCTCTCGCCTTGGCTCATTCTCCCTGTGTCCTCACATGGGCTTCCCTCTGTGTCTCTGTGTCCCCACCTCTTCTTCTTGTAAGGACATTAGTCGGATTGGATCCAGGCCACCCTGATGGCCTCATTTGACCTGACTTACCTTTTGAAAGGCCCGATCTCCAAATGCACTCACATTCTGAGGTGCTTCATAGGAATTTGGGGAAGAGGGACTCAACTCAGCCCCTAGAGATCCCCACCTACTCCGCAGGTGGCCCCCCTGCCGTGGCTCCAGCGGCCACTGGGCTCCAACGAGGCTGTTCTTCCTCCGCCCCTTCAGGCCTACGATGGTCACGGCTTCCCACTGTCTGGTCTCCAAGCCCAGGGCTCCTCTGGGTTCTCTTCACCCTGCCATGCGATTCATGAAGTGATTCCTCACTGAAGGTGCTTCAACTGTCTGACTGGAGTTTCATTTGCTGCTGCTGGGACACTTGAGGGTGCCTTGGCTGCGAGTACCCTGGACCACTTTCTTTCTTCTGCCCTGAACACCTGGGCGTGCAGCTCTGTGCTCCCTATGGAGGTGCAGGTTCCTTGGGGGCAGAAACCATGCCTTGCTCTTTGTGCACCCGCAGGGCCTTGCCCGGGGTCTGATGTATGTAGAGCGGGCGCCAGGTGTTCAGTTCAATGCCATCATTGACGATGGCTTCTGGCGCCACTCTCCCCAGCATTCTCTCCAGCCTCCCGAGCACTGAGTGTTGTGGACTTGGAAACGGCTCCTGGGGATCTCCTACTTCCACTTCTTCCCCTACAGTCCTGCTCCTGTTCATCTCATGATGCTCAGAGAGATGTGGGAAGCAAGGCATCCTTACTTGGCCTCAAACGACCTTCAAATTCTCCTGCTCCTGCCGTGACCATGACCACCGCCTCCTGCTTTCCAGAACATCCTCCGACTCCAGCCTTTGTGTGGCTGCTCACATCCCTCCTCCCACCAGAAGCAGTGGTTGCTGTCCTCACCTCCTGCTGGAATTGTACTCAGCCTTCCGGGGGAGATGCTCAAAATATCACGATACCATGGATACTGAGCAAACACAAAGCAGCTTGGAGCAGGAGTGGGGTTTAAAGCCTGAAGGCTCCCAAGCTGTGCCTGGTGTTCACCCTTTAGTTGCTAGACAGTGGAAAGGTAGGGGGAGCCCCAGAGGAGGGGCCTTTGTAGTGAGGAGGGAATCTGGACAGCGAATATTTTCTGATTCTGCCGATTCGTGTGGCCGCGAAAGATCACTGAATGCGTCCGTTGCTAAGTGGCTTAGACTAGCATCTGATGATCTTCAAAGGCCTTTCACGCTCTACAATTTGATTTTCTTCAATACATGTCAAATTTGATTTGCTGATTTAGCTCATTGCCAACCATCTATCTCTCAAGGCTGAGTTTTCCTCAAGAGGAAAAGGTTTCCCTTCACGACTAAAACGTTCCCAAACCTGTATTCACAGAATTATGCCACTTTTATAGATTTGTAGCCTTTCTAAATTCAAAGGCTGTTCTCAGAAATGGTACTTGTGAGCACCCCATATAAAGGGAGAAGGGAAGGGGTGGGCACAGTGAAAGGTGGAAATTCACCAAATCAGCTGCGGCTGAGAAGCAGGAGCACAGTCATATGGCCCTTTCACTTGGCATACGGCACCTGCATCACTCCCTACATATGGCCCCTTTGGAAGCGATACTTCATAAACCAAGAGCTCCAGAACTGCCCAAGACAGGCCAATCATATTCTTTGCCCTAAATAACCAAAGTTGTTCATCTGGAAACACATATAAGTATGTATGTTTGAAATAACTTCACAGCAGTACAGAAAGGTAAGGATGCTTGTTTTCACGGAAAGGAAGAGTCAGCTGAGGCAGTTCTAAGCATGGCTTCCTCTAAGTTCCCAAAGCAAGTTTTACAAACTCAGAGTATACTTCATGACATGGAATCACTTACGTGTGGGTCCCTCTTTCCCATGAAGTTATAAAGCAACACCGAGTTAAGAGTGGGGCAGGTTGTTATTTCTGTAACCCCAGTTACTAGCACAATGCCTAGAACATAGGAGGTTCTCAAAAAATGTTGGTTGAATGAATTAAAAAGGCCCCTTAATGCTTGGAGATAGAGAATGTGCACAGGGCTTGTGAAACCCTGTTACCTGGAGAGCTACCTGGGCTGAGGGACAGTATGGAGGAGGAGACTTAAGAGGGGAAATTAAAAGTGATTAATTACCAACTCATTGATGCACTCAGTCTCTCCATTTCATGAAAATCTAACAACTTTTAGGAGGTTGTCCATCTCCTTTTAAATAAATACTGTTTGAAGCATTGGAATTGCCTCAATTTAATGTTACAAGAAAAAGTTATTAGACTCTCATAATTGTAAGATGTTTTCCAGGGAAAAGATTCAAATAGAACCTGATACCTTATTGACTTGTTTGAGGAAAAGATCAAAATGTGTTTTTCTCCATGAAGAAAGATCAAAATGTGTTTTTCTCCATGAAGAAATATTGACATCGACGTTTCCTCAGCCATTATTTCCCTTCCAGAAAGCATCAATTGCCTGATCCAAGCCTTGAGCAGAAATTCGTTCCTGCCATGTGTTCCAAGCAGCTGAGTGTGCCTGGCCCTGCCCAGCAATGGGAGGCAGCTGCTCTCCTTCAACATCTCACACAGGGAATTATTTGTACCTAAAGAGGATGGTGTTTAAATGATAATTGTCTTTTTCTCATTAAAGCTAAAGTATATTTCACCAAAATATACCACAGTTGAGGGTAACCAACTGCCCCACATTGCTCGTGACTAAAGGGGTTCCTGGGACACAGAACTTTCAGTGTCAAAATCAGGAAAATCCTGGGCAAACCGTAGCACAGAGGCTTTTATACCAAATAGAAGATTGTGCCCCCTTTTAATGTGGTGACTAAACATTTTAGAAATAAAAAATTCTACCAAATTAAATAGAAACTAACCGATACAACTAAAACCATATATTTAAGAAAACAGAAAAAGAAGGCCAAGGGATTATTATTGTTAAGTCTGTGAAAGGGTTGCACTTAATCCACAACTAGAGGAAAGCATGTTCTGTTTCAAAGGAGCTGTTCTGCGAGCACTCGATTAGATGTCTTAACTTCCGCAGCCCTGTGATCCTCAGATATGTAACGTTACCAATTAGAACCAACACTTACACTGCCTCTGAAGTTCTAGAGTTGCTATTACTAAAAACACATACTTTTAGACCAAAAAGAAGCTTCATACCATGGCTTGAGTAAAACACCAACAATGCCGAGAGCTTCCTGTCCCTTTGGCTTGGTGGTTATCACTGCAACAAAAATAGTGAAATTTTGAAAGCAAAAGTTTATTTTAAATTGTACATATTTTTAAAAGCACTACAGTAAGAAAATATGTCCACATATCTCTCTGTCTTATATATCAGTTATCTCTCTGCCCATCCACTGCACCTACCCACCTGTTAAGCTGCCCTGTAAACCTCAACAAGCAGGAGGTGAACTGCCATTTAAAAGTTACAACATTTTCTGTCTGTAGAGATAAAGATCTCATCTCACCTTTAAGACAGACTGTGGCTTTGCTTGGGAAAAGTTACCATCATGGACACTTTAATTACATCAGAGGTAAGATAGGTACTGCTTTGTATTTTGGGGAGGGAGGGCAGATAAACTGTTGTCATTTAAGCCAGATATAAATGTTTTTACATTGACACATTGTTCTAGTCTGTTCAGTAATGCAAACTGTACATTGATGAAACAGGGCAAGCTTAGCCCCAGACTTTTCTGCCCACCTATTTTTTTGCAAGGGGTGTGTATGAGAGATGAGAAAGAAATCTATCCCAACCTTGTGTGATCATGCTGCAATTGCTTCAGCCTCTTCCCAGCAGTTGTCCTCATGTTAGTTGTTGTTTGCGGGGTCTGGAGTTGAGGCCCCATGTAGAAAGGGCACACAGGTGTGCAGAGAAGGTGAAAAGCACAGGTCAGACCAGGCACGGTGGCTCACACCTGTAATCTCAGCACTTTGGGAGGCCGAGGTGGGTGGATTGCCTGAGCTCAGGAGTTCAAGACCAGCCTAGGCAACATGGTGAAACCCTGTCTCTACTAAAAATATAAAAAATTAGCAGGGAGTGTTGGCATGCCCTTGTAATCCCAGCTACTGGGGAGACTGAGGCACAAGAATCGCTTGAACCCAGGAGGCAGAGGTTGCAGTGAGCCAAGATCGCACCACTTCATTCCAGCCTTGGGGACAGAGTGAGACTCTGTCTTAAAAAAAAAAAAAAGTACAGATCAACCTTCACTTGAAGGTCAATGGTCGACGGTATTCTCATGAGTAAACATGATATCCTGGTACCAGGTTGTTGCTTCAGATGAGATTGTCTCATGTGGGCAAGGACAGCTCCTCACCTGCAGACCAAGTGGTGTTTGGTTAAAAAAATAAATAAATAAAAATAAAAAGCAAGCTCTCTGTTGCAAAGAATAGAGAAAATGATCCTGGGTCCATCATCTAGCCTGAGGAACCCTTGATACATGATGATTTTTTCAGAATTCACAGGGTTTTCTTGATGAATAACTAATCAAAAGAATGATAAATATTAACACATGTGAAACCAACGGAGAGTTTATAATGACAGTGTTATATCATGTCATACGAAATGGACTTCCCCTCTCATGGTAAGTGAAATTTCTCATGGGACATTCCATTCTCTCAGGAAAACCCCTGCTCCCTGCAGCCCCCTACCCAGACATTTTTCAGTGTCTTCAGATCCAGTTCAATTTCAGTTTTGCATGAAAGAGTGAATAACAAAAACAAATGAAAGCAGTGCAAAGCTCTGCACTAGGGAAGAGCTCAACAGTGACACTCGGCAGGCAGGCAGAAGCATCTTTAAGGAGGGCCGCCCTAGCCCAGTCACTTCTTTGAGCTGGGGCTTCCCTTGCTGTCCTCCCTTCTGTCTTCACTTCTGGGCTGCCCCCTGGTCCCTGCAGGCATTTGAAGAAGGAGAAGTGTGCCTCAGAGAGGGTAGCTGACGGTGCAGGTGCAGCAAGCACAGATGGTTAGGACCCTCTGTGCAGGGACACTTCGGGTCCATTTCCTGCTGTCCACAAGACTGCAGTCCACATGATCATTTTGAACAGGATTTTAAGAGAGTTGGAGACCTCAGAAAGAGTACCACATACAAGGCAAATGGTAAGACCTTCTGGCCATGTCTCCTTCCGCCCAGGCAAGTTAGGCTGAGGAAGCAATGCCCAAGCTCTTGTCTTACAGGAGTCCTGTCAAACACTGATGAAAATGATGATTATTCTCCTGAGATTAAAAAGGTATTCGTGGTTCAGATTTTGTTAACTGTTTTGGGCTCGAGTCATCAACCATAAAATGTTGTTTTTGTTTTGTTTCGTTTTTAAACCATGAAAAGTTTTAAGGGCCTAGTTTGTTGTCCCAGGTAGACCTTCCTTTGTAGAGACAGGGAAGTAGATGGGCCAAGTCAGACCATTCCACACACGGAAAATGAACACAAGCAACTTCCATGATGGCCATGCATAAGTCAGGCATGGTTTCTTACCAAAGATCAAAAAACAACATGATGCCAAGAGGCAGAACCACAGAGAGTCTTGTGCTCTGCCAAGTACGGCTATGGCTGTAGACCAAGGGGTGGAGTACAGCAATACACGGAAGCATTGTGTGCAAGGACTCTCTCCTCTCTCTCCTCTCTCTCTCCTCTCTCTTTCTCTCTCTCTCTGTTGAGTGTGCCCTATATCTGTTTCAGAAACAAAAGACAACAGGATTCTGGTTACTCCTAGAGAGCCATCTCACATGGAAACTACATTGCTCAAGAAAAGGAAACATGAGGAGATGCAGTATTGATGGAGTCTCTGGCATATCAAAGGATGAATTATTTGTGATCCTTATGCCTGGACAAATTCAACAGCCTCCCAGATGTATTTCTTTCCTAAATCAACAAACATCTACATAGTTCCCCACACACTAGGGACTATCTTAGATGCTGGATACTGAGATTGATTAACAACTGGTCCCTGCCCTCAGGCAGCTACCATTTGGGGGAAAACAACAGTTGTCCTGAGAATACACAGGCATGTATGTTCTGACCTGCAGGCTGATAATAATGTGACCTCCAAATTTTAGGAACCAGGGCTCTGTCTTATTTCCCCTTTGCTTGGCACTGTTTTATAATCTGCCTGATAACTTCATTCCTGCAAGCCTCTGCCAATCCTCCCAGGAACTCTGTCCACAGACTTTTGTTGACTCCCAACTAAATGCCTGAGAACATTTTCCCTTTACCTGCTCCCAGATTCTCTGCCCTCCCAGTCATTTACCTGGATATCCATTCCTCTTGCTGCTCTTCCCTGACCCCACACTCTCCAGATATCCGTGCTGAGATCTGAGCCCCGCAAATCTCTTCAGCGAAAGGAGGAAACCACGTTCATAATTAGAAGACTGCTTGGAAGGCTGGAAATTGTGACCTTTGAAGAGTTGAGGTCGTATACCACAGGGGCCCATCCTCATGGTCAGGCTGTTCTGCATGGCCTTGAGAACTCAGGTATTCAACTGGGCAGCCTCTCTCTGGACAATGCTGGAGAAACAGAGAAAATGTTTTGTGCTTTTGCTTCCGTAGTTCCAGGTTCCACCTTTTTTCTTCTTTCCACAATTCATTAGATTCTCACTTTCTTTTACTTTTAGTCAGGCTTTGGCTAGATTAGATCTTCATTTTAACTTCTTGTTCTCAATTTGTTAATAATGAACAATTGTGGCTTAAGAATTCTGCAGAGAACTAACATGATCTATTAGTGTAGATTTAGCTGGTTA
Source organism: Homo sapiens (assembly GCF_000001405.40). Classification (NCBI taxonomy): domain Eukaryota; kingdom Metazoa; phylum Chordata; class Mammalia; order Primates; family Hominidae; genus Homo; species Homo sapiens. Next base: position 288,891 of record NC_000006.12, read on the forward strand.
TTGAGGAGAGGGGGTTGGAGACATTTCTGATTGTCATGACTGAGAGGGTGCTACTGAAATGTAATGAGCACAAGTCAGAGATGCTTCTGAACATTCTGCAGTGCACAGGACAGCCTTCTAGAGCAAAAATGTATCCAGCCTCAAATGTCAGTTTTGCCGAGGTTGAGAAACCCTGGACTGCAATATGTTCAAGAGGCCAGTGAAGATTACATAATTACTTCTCTGTTGGATAGAGGTTAATCTTGATGCTCTGAAATTATCACTAACACCTATAATGATTTGGCTAACTCTAATGGTTGAGCTTCTGCTTGCGGGCTTTTAAACACCGCCACCTTAAAGTTTAAGGTTACTGCTCACTAAATACACTATTAACCAGTTATCCTTAACCATGTGTAAGTATGGACTCAGCTATCCTACACACTCTGTAGACCATTCCTTATTGTGCACACATGAAGGCTTGACTTCTTTCGGAGTTGTTGCCAAAATTTGTGATGTTGGCAGAACTGAGAGGAAGAAAATAACAAGAAGAAAAGTGGAAGTAAAAATCTTACATAGTGTGAAAATCCACCAGGCTTGTGATGCCTTAAAATTTTTATGAGTGAGATAAAGCACAAATGAATAGAGATTCTACTATGGATGTGAAATACGCCAGCTTTGTTGAAGTGTTTCCCTTCTTCCTTTCTTTCCATAATCAAGAGCTAGAGAGTAAAAGTCATAGAACTGCAAGACATGAACAACTGGGAATTATTATTGTAATAAAGAGAGGTGTTCAGGGTTAGGGTGGAGGAGAGTACAGCAAGTCTCTTGTGGGAAACCCCCCAACCCCACAGAATCAATAATTTTTTTTTTTTTGAGACGGAGTCTTGCTCTGTTGCCCAGGCAGAAGTGCAGTGGCACAATCTTGGCTCACTGCAGCCTCTGCCTCCTGGGTTCCAGCGATTCTCCTGCCTCAGCCTCCCGGGTAGCTGGGATTACAGGCACACGCCACCACGCCCGGCTAATGTTTGTATTTTCAGTAGAGACGGGATTTTGCCATGTTGGCCAGGCTGGTCGAGAACTCCTGACCTTAGGTGATCGGCCCGCCTCGGCCTCCCAAAGTGCTGGGATTACAGGCTTGAGCCACCACGCCCAGCCAAAACCAATAATTTTTTTTTTTTTAAATCTTACTCTTCTGACTTCTGGTGTTAATAGTCTCCTCTTTTCCTATTTAACCCAAAAGAAAAATTTGAGATTTTGATAGGAACTCTGGGCATGTGGACCTTTTAGGCCATACTGAATGCTGATTTTGACGGTAAGGAGGAAGCCATGGCAGGTTCTGAGTTTAGGGGGAAAAGCAGATGGTCCAAGCTGGAGAAATATATCTACAAGAAGAGTATGAATAAGAGAGAAATATTGCAAGTGGATGACAGAAGAAAAAAATCAGTATGAATTTGTCATTCATGGTCAAGTACCAGTTTATGAACTGGTTGTGTTCTTAAACGTTCATCTGACTGTTGGATGAATGGCCCAAGGAGGGCAGAAGGCTGCAGAAGTAATTCATTGGTTGCTGGATAGAAGCTTCAAAAATTCACAGTTTAATGCTCTTGTTTTAAAGAGAAAAAAAAAGCTAGCTCAGAAAAGTTGATCATCTTGCTCAAGACCTCCTTAAGAATTAGAAATAGAGGCTGATTACTGGGATTCCCCAGGCAGTCCACTAACGATTCTGTGTTGTCTCTAAGCAGGAAGGTGGTAAAAACAGTTACTTAATGGCAGTGTGTGGCAGAGGGGAAAGGGCAGGCTGTCCAGGTGACTGAGAAGCAGGCGGGAGAAGAGGAAGTGAAGGCAGTGAAGAAGGAACACTCTCCCAAAACAAGAGGCAGAAAGGGCACTCCGGGTCTGGGTCCCATTCTACCTAGAGAAAACATGCAAGCGCATATTGATTGAGGGCTTTCTACACGGGGGGTTTTGATACCATTTGTTGCCCAGAAGATATGGGGTACAAGTACAGAAATGGCGACAGATGGAGTCTACAAGCTCTTTCCAAACGTTCACATTCCTCAGAACCTCACCCGTTTTCTCGGCCACAAGAAATTATTAATTTATTTGACAAATATTTTAAAAATCACTATTTTGTGCTAGATTTTGTCCCAGGCCACATGGCTGTATTACTGAATAAGACAACTTTTTTTTTTTTTTTAATCTGAAAGTTGCTGGCTAGTGAGACAGATAAAAAGAAAGCAAATACATGTATTTCCGATCAATAATACGGAGTAATATGATAGTGACTGGAGGACCAACCTGGAATTGGGTGGTTAGGAAAAGCCTCTTAGGAGAGATGGCATTTGGGCTGATACCTCAGCGATAACAGGCAGGTATGCAGAGAGCTGGGGATCCAGGTGTCTGGATAGAGAGCACAGCCCAGCAAGCCTGACAGGCTCAAGGAACAGACAGGAGACCAGCATGTGTGTAACTCGCTTAGCAAGAAGATAAAATGAAGTCAGCAGGGGTGAGCCAGGGCACGTCAGATTGACGCATGTACTCATTCAGCAAATATTTATTAAGCACCTACTATGTTCAGGACATTGTTGAGGATACATAAATTAAGAAGAAAAACCACTGGCTCAAGGATTCTGTCGCTGGAGAGAAACTTCAGAGTTTAATAACGTTGATAGAACACCCAAAACAATTCTGCTACAGTTTAGAAATTGATCCATTCCAGACAGAACCACAATGCAGACATTAAGGGACACACATCATCTAAGGCCGTGAGGTCTGAGGTCAGAGATCCAGCCATCTGCTCCCCCAGGGTAGGGAGGTCGGGCCTCCCCGGGGTGAGTCACGTAGCCCACCTCTCCCCACCAGGCGAGGCTTCTCGGTCTTGGTGCATGGGGCAGGGCCGCAGGAAATCCCCCAGCCTAAATCTGCCGCACTCAGAAAACCCAGGCAGGGGAGCCCCCAGAGACCAGGCCTCTGATTAGCACCTGATTCACGGAGGCAGCCAAGGCTGGGTAGCGACTGCTGGTAACTGGCCCCCGGAGTCGCCCCAGGGGAAAAGGCCAAAGGGGGATCTGGAGACCCCCGGCCGGGGAGCGGGCTCCGAGACGAGCGCAGCCGCCCGGTCAGGGCAGCGCCTGCGCGTCCGCCAGGCCCCGCCGCGCAGCCTCGGGTGTCCCGGCGGGGCGGCTCGGGCCGCGCACGCGCTCTGGCCTCCGGGGCCGGCCGCCTGGGAGCCCGAGCCTAGTGCCTCCCACGCCCGGCGGCCGCGAGCCGGGGTCCGCGAGGGCGGAGTGGGGCGCGGCAGCCAGGAACCCGACTACGAATCCCAGGGTGCGGGCGGGCGGAGCGAGGAGGGACGCTGGGCCTGCCCGGTGCGCACGGGGGCGGGGACCGGCAAGGCGGGACCATTTCCCGGCATAGGCTCCGGTGCCCCTGCCCGGCTCCCGCCGGGAAGTTCTAGGCCGCCGCACAGAAAGCCCTGCCCTCCACGCCGGGTCTCTGGAGCGCCCTGGGTTGCCCGGCCGGTCCCTGCCGCTGACTTGTTGACACTGCGAGCACTCAGTCCCTCCCGCGCGCCTCCTCCCCGCCCGCCCCGCCGCTCCTCCTCCCTGTAACATGCCATAGTGCGCCTGCGACCACACGGCCGGGGCGCTAGCGTTCGCCTTCAGCCACCATGGGGAATGGGATGAACAAGGTAACGTCTTCCCTCGTTCGCGCTGGGTTTGCCTCCGCTCCGACGCCCTGCCGTCTCGCCGGCGTCGGCTGCCCGACGACTCGAGCCCGGGGTGCCCTTTCCCGCGGTGGGGACGGGCGCGGAGGGAGGGGCGGCGCGCCTGGGCGGCGACCGCGGAGTCGGGGTTCGGAGGTGTTCCCGCCCCCACCCCACCCGGCTTCCGGGTAGGCAGCCCCCAGCCGCCTGCCTTGCCAGCCGGTGCGTTTTCGTGGCTGAAACAAGCCGCGCCCTTTGAAAGCGTTGACACTTGTTCTGCCGAGAGGTCAGCTGAGCTCCGAATGGATGTGGCTTCTTTTTTGCCCTCCTCTTCGCTCCCAAACTACGCTCTTGAAGCCACCACCGCCCCCCCCACATCATTAGTAAACGGGTGTCCTCTGTAATTTCCTCTTTCTCCTCAGATTCTGTGTGTGTGCCTGTGAGCACAGAGAAGTTTTTCTTGTGGACAGAGAAGTTAACAGAGTCCTAAGTCCTGAGCTGTTTCTAGATAGTGGGGAGGAGAGAAAAGATTCAGAGTTGATTAGGTTATGTGACTTCTGCAACAAGGGCAACCTGTTGCTGGCTGCTTGCGCTGATGAGGCCTTCTGGAAAATCTGTGTTGCTCCATTTGTCCCGTCCGTTTCTGGGCCCCACCCTGTGTTCTTTTGTTGCCCGCACCTCACTTCCCGGGCGGTGGGCTAGCCTTTCCCGTCCAGGGAAGTTGCCAGATTCCAGCTCTGGCAGCTGAGAGTTGCCGGGGTGTATTCATGTGAACCACAGGGTTAAGGATTTTGTTACTTGGTACTTGGCTGGTTTCGAGGAAGGATTGACAAGACTTTACAAAGCCCGCAACAAAGACAAGTACCTTTTTACGGGTCTTTGAATGGTCCTGGATTAGATGAGTCGTCTTTCTGCTTCACTTTTTCATTGCGCTCCACCCACCCACATCTCTACATGCCGTCAGCTTCCACACTGGGTGGGGATGGCAATGTGGCTGTGTTTTTTTTCATGTCCCTCAGCACTGGGTCAGCAGTGGTTTGGGTGTTGGGGCTGGAGTGTTGCAAATGCGGATTCACGGTAGGGCAGGGAAAACCTAGCTAACTTTTCACGTGCGCATGTCGTGTTTATTGTGTCCTGGTTACCCAGTTTGTGAAAGAACTATTGTGTGTTTGGGACCTGCATATCAATACTGGGGTATTTTGGTAAAGAGAATTGTATTCACTTTTTTTTTTTTTTTTTTTTTGGCGAGTGATCAAGTTTGGAAACAGACTGTCTCTCTCTTGGATAAATACTTGTATTATATTCCGATGAGCACTGGAATCCATCAGCACCACGAGCCTTCTGCTTTTTAAATTAAAACAGAACAATAAAGATGGTCATCATAAGTCTGTGGGCTCCGTTTGCCTTCCCATTGGTGGTGGTATCTCAGCTTTCCTTTGGCTGTTTCTAGTTTTCCCACTTGAGCTGTTCACTCTCCACCGTTTTCAGCATTTAATTTATAGTATTTGTGTAATACAATTCAAAAAATATATTTAGGAATACAGATGGTTGCCTAAGGGATCAACGTTATTTTCATGCTTTTCAACAAAAGCAGTAATATTCATATACTTTTTACCTTTCAAAATGGGTAATAAATTTCTTGACTTTTATTATCTTGTGAATAGAGACTCACAGTGTATCAATGAAGAAATACATGTATAGAGAGATTTAGAGACTTCCCTGCTTCAACACTTATTGATTATGTACATACTATGAGCCAGGTGTTGTGCTAGTGGGTGGGGAGGGGGCAAAGGGAGTACAGTGGTAAATGACCCAAAGATTCTTCACAGAACCTTCAGTACAGGTCAGCATTGTCCAGCACTAATATGATGCGAGCTATATATGTAACTTAAAATGTTCCGGTAGCCACATTAAAAAATAAACCGGTGAAATTAATTTTAATAATATATTTTATTTAACAATATATTAAAACTATTGTTTCAACATGTAACCAATATATAAAGTTATTCATGGAAGATTCCATGTTTTTTACTATGTCTTTGTGAAAGGAAAAATCTCGGGACCCCCAGATCACTTAACCTTCAAAGTCTAGTGTGTATTTTATGCCTAAATCACATCTCATTTTGGACTAGCCACATTTGGAGTACTCGATAGTCACTGTGGCTAATGGCTGCTGTGTTGCACAACACAGGGTGTGTATGTGTGTGGGGGTGAGAGAGAGAACAAACACAAGGTAGGGAGGAGTAGAGGCTCCAGAGGATAAAATAGGCAATTTCAGAAAAGTGGGGAAAGCAGAAGATGGGATGAAAGTGACCTAGAAGGGGCATTCAGCCCAGGCAAGGAATCCTGCTGCAGTAAACATGTTTAACGTGAGATCAGGAGGAACTACCCCAAATCACAAGGTTCATTAGTGGCAAAGTAGATCGCAGGAGGCCAGTAACTTAAGAACCTTAACTAGAACTTTTCCATATATTACTGTGTGACTTGGAACGAGGCTTCATCTGTAAAAAAAGAAGAATGGTTGATTTGCAGAATCAGCGGAAGGTGCTACCCCTAGAAATCCTTTTCTAAGAACATTTATAAATATGTGCAATGTCTTTGGAACTAACATAACTTGGAATGTGTGTGCCCTGAGGTTACTGGGACAAGATTTCTTTCCAATCTCGTACACATTGGTCATTTTTGGCAAAAGAGCATTTCTGGTCTAAACAGTGCACGCTGCATTCTGAGTGCTTTGGGACAGCAGTTTTTATCATTCACATCCCTGTGGTGGCTCTTCTTGTCGGTCCGTTCCGGGCTCCTGTACGGCGGAATATTGTGCCCGTTTCCGTTAGGTGTACGCAGCAGATTATACAGAAGATGGAGGGGAAAAAGGCTTTTATATTCTAGAAAATTAAAGATGAGGAAATAAAGACAGGACTGGGCGTGGTGGCTCGTGCCTGTAATCACAGCACTTTGGGAGATTGAGGCAGGTGGACTGCTTGAGTCCAGGAGTTTAGAACCAGCCTGGGCAACATGGCAAAACCCTGTTTCTACCAAAAATACAAAAAAAAAACCCACAAAAACAAAGCAATCAGCCGAGTGTGTGGTGGCTTGTGCCTGTAGTCCCAGCTACTTGGGAGGCTGAGGTGGGAGAATCACCTCAGCCCGGGAAGTCTAGGCTGGAGCGAGTCGTGATTGTGCCACCGCACTCCAGCCTGAGCGACAGAGCGAGACCCTGTTTCAAAAAAAAAAAAAAAAAAACCCAACAACAACACAGTTGTGAACCATTTTTTTTAACACTTTATAAAATCTCAGCCTCACGGTAGCCCTATGAGGTCAAACGACCTTATATTTGCCCAGATTGGGGAATGGAGATTTGGAGAGGTTAGGTAGCATAAGTAATGCCAGGCAGGGCAGAACCCAGTCTCCACTGATTTTGAAGATAGGAAAAGTCTTTCCTTTGAGCTGAGATGCTAATTCATCCCAAGTAAGTTTTAAAATTCCTAAAAAGTAACTTGAAAAGCTCCTCATAGCTTCGATTACTTGTCAAATAGCCAAAATCACCTCCTCTCTTCCTTTATGTTTGACATTGATAAGGAAGGGGGTAATTACAGGCAAGAAACTAAAACTTTTTTTTTATTGTTTTTGTTTGTGTGTGCAATTCCTAGGTAGATGCCCCACACTGGCCAAAATTATAATTGCCAATGAGTTTATGGTGTGTTTTGAGTACTTTACCACATAGAGTAAGCCACAACTCCATGAAGTAGATCCTGTTATTTTCATGCCTGTTTTCTGGTTGTACACAGAGGCTAAGGGAACTGCCAGGGTCACCCAGCTGGTGAGTAGCAGAGCCTGGACTCAAAGCCACAGTCTGGCTCGGCCACAATGCAGAGTGCCTCACCACGCTGCTAAGATATTAGTCTAGTAAATGTCTCTGGTAAGATTAGGGTTAAACTAAACAGGGTGTTGCATGCAAATGTCGTGTTCCTGTGGAGCCTTTGAAAACTCCTAGTTGACTCAAAGTTCTCTCGAGTCTGAACCCTCAAATCTTTTGGGGGAGAGCCTATAAACAAAACTCCTATCCTCACTGTCTACTTATTAGTCTTCAGTACTACAATACCCCATTAAAAACAAAACAAACGACTAGTCTCTAGCCAAACATTATGTCAGAGAAGGCTGCCCCAAATGCTTCTCATGTGCAAGAAGTCTTTATCTTGATCAGCCTAAAAGTGGGCTGAAGCCTTGCATTCTAGGGCAGGATATGAGGACCCTCTGGTTGGCATCTTGCCCTCCACTGACTGCCAGGGTTCGTTTAGCTCATCAAGCATCCGGCCTGCCTGGTCTTGTGGCCTCTTCCTTCCTCCCTGCTGTGTGTCCTCTGAAAGCACCCTGCCTGGTGGGAATGGCTGCCATCCCTGTCCTTCTCGGGAAGCCTCTCATGGTGCTGGGAGGCCTCACTTCAGTGGGTGCATCTTGTTTCCATGGGGAGCGCACTGTTGCTAAGAGGGGCTGGCTAACAAAAAGCCTGATCTGGGGCACCTCCACCACTGCTGCTTCATGGGTGTGATCCTGAAGAAGTCACTTAAATGTTTCTAAGCTTCAGGATTTTTTTCCTTCCTGGATTCATAGATGTATAGAACTAAGAAACCTTAGGTGGTTAGCTAATCCAGTCTCCTTACTGGCTGTAAAATGAGGGTAATGATACCTTCCCCAATTACTAATTGGGTTATTGGGAGAAGCAAATGGGAATTTATTAGAACACATTTTTCCAAACTGTGAAGTGCAAATACAGTCTGTTTTGAGTGTTCTTGGATGTGACTGACACTTGTTTGAGGATGGCTCTTGCCCTGTTAGGAAGATGAGGGAGTATAGTTGGGAAAGGATTATAATTCAAAGAGAATATGTTCCCTCTAGGCATAGACCGGTGTTCCTCAACGGCTACACCTGTAGACATTTCAGGATAATTACTTGTGAGACTGCCATGTGGATTATGAGAGGTTTAGCAACATCTCAGATCTTCACCCAATAGTTGCCAGTAGCACCTCCCCACCTGTGACAACCAAAAATGTCCCTGATGTTGGCAGATATCCCCTGGGGAGTGAAATCATCCCCAGTTGAGAACCACTATTGAGGGTTCTTCCTCTCAGAATTTCCTGAGGCCTGTGTGATCTGGAACTGGAGAGTTATCAAAAGGTGGAGTAGGGCTTACAGGGTTGAGAAGCTCTGTTTTCATACGGGAAGGGCTGGCAGGTCAGGCACCTTTGTGCTGCTAAATCCATTTTTTCCACCTGGCAGCAGGTGACTTGGCTGCCTGCGTAATCCAGTCATCCATCCATGCACCTGTTCACCATATTGTTATTGAACACAGTCAAGACACTGTGTTAGATCCTGTAGTGAGCTGTTAATAGGAAAGACACGAAGACCCTGCCATGCAGATCAGTCCCAGGCAGCTTGGAGAGGAGCCTCCTGCAGGAAATGAACACTCAGCCACTGCTGCAGGACTGACAGACAGATGGCCACATGCCGGTGGGCTCTGGTTCCTTTCCTCTACACCACCCCCCGAGGGCTCTCTCTTTTCTCCATTTAATATTACATTTTTATTTCGTGTTGAAGAACAGATGTTAAAGGCAGTGTTCTAAGGGCCCAGGAGAGTATTCTCATATTCTTCCCTTTTTATATGCAAACTGGTTAAGTCCATGGCCAAATGGCATTTAAAATGTCTCTGTGACATTTAACCCTTCAAGGAATCCACCAAAGTTTTCCCCTTCATGCCTGGCTTTGAAACCCAGAAAGTCCTTTCTGACATAGAAAGAATTAAGATTCCGCTGCCACCCCCACCCCACACATGGCCTTGGGCAGCTGCTTGCTCAGGAGTTTACTTCTCAGCATCAGTTTGGGTGGGGTTCTTAGATGCCATGCATCCTGAAGGACTAAAATAAATGTTTAAAAAGTAAACTCAAAATATTTCCTGCCTTAGAAGCAGTATTCTTTTGTGCTTAAGTGCGTTTTTGTGGCTGAGGATTTGTGTTTTTGCATTTCTGTGAAGCTGTCCATCAGGAGGAACCATCAAGCGTGGAGAATCTTTAGGGTGATTTCAAAGCATTTCTGCAGAAGGATTCTGCCTATATTGTCTATGCCCAGACGGTCTTGTAACAGAAAACAGGAATCTTTGACCTGCGGAATGCCAGAGACCGTCTTCCTCTGTGGCCTGTGCTGTTTCGTCACCGTTTATTCAGACTTCCTCTTAGCGTGTTAGACTCTGGGCAGGTTTTAGGGACACATTAGGAGACAAGACAGATGCACCCTCTGCTGCAAGATCAGTCCGAAAGTAAGGAAATGAATACAGCCATTTAGTCACTGATAAATGTGGTGAAGAAAATAAAACAAGGCGATATGAGAGAGAGAGTGCCAGGGAGTTTGGTGGTCAGGAGAGACCTCCCTGGAAATGGTCATCTTGTGGGAGGCCACTCAGGAACAGTGTCCCCAGCAAAGGGAAAGAGCAGCAGTTTCAGAGGCCCACAGATGCTTAGCACCAATTCTGTGCTTATTACTTCAGCATAGTGGGACATTCCCAAGTTGCCTTTACAGGCTTTTTTTTCCAACTTGTCCTTGCTTTCTACCAGGTGGTAATGATTTCATTTTCTCTCTGTTTTTCTTGCTTCTGGCTTGAGCTCAGCTCCTGCGTGGCCTGACTGGTCAGCCAGGTTGTTGCAGATAAACACCTTGTGGTTCCCAGGTCTCCTCTATAAATCGTCTCTCTGCTGGAAAATTATTTGATTTTATTTCATGTTCTCTTTCTCTGTATTCAGGGATTACCAGCAACAAAAATATCGTGAAAATAGATGGGTCAAAATTTTTGGGTTTCAAGTCTGAATTACGAAGCTGACTAGTGTAGAAGTTGAAATATTCATGGGCCTTTTATTTAGTCTCCTTGAAACCAGCCCTGCTTAATCTTGTTTGTAATTCTATATGGAAGAGAATCATACTGTGACTACAGAGAGGGATTGAGCAACCTGCTTTCCATTTCCAGTCTTGAAACTCTAGCTCAGTCTCCTGGTCTGAAACATGAAGTTAAAGGTTGACTGACACAATTTGGTCTTCTCTTTACATTACTTAAAAATATTTAAAATGTATGTAAAATACTCATCTTCAATTCCTTTTAAGAAGTTGCCTCCTCAGGTCAGACTTCCCATCCTTGCCAGCACGCTGCTGCAGCAGCTCCCCAGCACTAGGCCCATGCCACAGGTGTGGCCGGGCACCGTTTCGCATGTGGAAGTCCACTCAGGGCAGAAAGGGGCAGCGTTCCCTCTCCCTGGCACAGCTCGTATCAGGCTTCACTCATCATCATTTTTTCTCTCTCCTTTCCTCTCACCCTGTTCACATTGTCTGTTTGTTCACTCATTCATTGGAGAAATGTTGACTTGAGTACCTACCCAAGGGAGAACCAATCGAGTTCAAAAATATATTTACAAAGAAGATACAGGCAGCAGGTAGAGATCGTAGACTGGAGGTCCATGGGCCCTGGTCAGCCCACAGATGGGTTTAGTTTGTCAACCACAGTATTTTAGTGGTTTTTAAAATTTAATTGACAATATTTGAAAATTGGGCTGTTTCCCATAAAACAGCCTGGAATTTGGGGGCCCTGGCCTGCGTCTCTGCATAGCCATGTTGGTTGGTTGCACCGTGGTCACTTCCTTAGATGTGGGTGAGATTGGAGAATGCCTTCGGGCTCGGGCTCAGGCTGAAGACATTTGAGGGTCCACTCCTGAAAGGTCTCCCTTGCCAAGGTGTAGAATTTGGGTTTCATGCTGAAAGCTACACGGAGCCCTAAGCTGAAGAGTCACACAATCAACTTTGCACTTGAGATGGTTTGAGGAATCCTTTGGAGGGACCACTCAGTCTGGAGGTAGGGAGCTCACTAGGAAGCTGCTGCAGGAATTCAGAAGGGAGACGCTAAGAAGCTGAGCCTGAAAGTTCAAAGAGGAGCACATGAGTGGGAGAGCTGCTGCGTGGAAGTAAATGGCAAATGAGCAGCAGTGAAGTCCAGAAAGGGCAGAGTCTCCTGTCGGAGTGATCTCTGGAGGGTTCCTGGTTGAGCTGGTCCTAGCAGGGCGGGTAGGTCTCGGTACTAGAGGCAGGGCAGGAACAGACCTGCTGTGCCTGTGACTTGCCTCAAGATCTGTGCACTCTTCTGCATTTATGCATTTTTCCAGGTTGAAAGCCCACATCAGGGTCCTTGGCTGTAAGCAACAGCATCCAAATGTGGTTACCTTAGGTAGAACAGGGCAGACAGCCTGGAAGGCTGGAGAGCCAGACTCAGGGGCAACCTTGGCAGGAGCAGATGCTGTAAGTGGTCAGTGAGAGCATTTCTGGGGCTACCGCAAGATGCTGATGCTACAGCCAGTGGACACTGAATGTGCCACCAGCCCTGCTGCCTCTGTTGCCAAAGAGGACACTCTAGGCTATCCCTGCAGCCGGCGTGCAGACTTGTTACACGTGGGTCACACCCATGTAGCAGCAAAGGCTTACGTGAGCAGGTATCTGGCATTGGCAGCTTCTATACTAACAGCTGGGCTCTGCTTCCCACCAAGACTCCCTGGGGCCAGGGTATCCCCAAACCTAGGAAAGGGTTTCAGAGACTGGAAAACCAATAAGATAAATGGCCATTACAGGGTTTGTGGTTTTCGAGCATACCCAAGGGATAAAGGACCCCAAACAGTGGGAACCTCTTCTCTGTTTAGAAAGAATATTTAGGGCAAAGAAAGTGCTATTGCAAGATGGGACCAGTAAGGGGTATTGGGAGAATGGGGATGACCTGGCTCGGCTGGACATAAGAAAGAAGTTGGGGGAAATCCTTCAGAGATCGGTTGGAGCCAACCTGCGGAAGCCATGCTGAATATTTAGTTCAATGTTTGGCCTTGATTTTTTAAGTAAAAGGGTTGTTACTGAACATTTTGAGGTAGAAAATCACCCAGGAAGAATATGGCTTTAGAAAATTAATTTGATAGGACAGAGGAATGAGTTCAGTGTTTACTACTGTAACCCCTGTGTGAATTGAGGCTCTGCGCAAGGCTGAGGAGGGAGACTGTGAGAGGCCTTCTAATTCCCGGGAGGAGGGGAGCAGAGAATTGAGAGAGAGGTGCCACAGCGGTGGGAGCCCTGGGTTTTCATTCGGGGTGACTGGGAGAAGGTGGCACCATCAGGGGCAGGAGGACTTGACAACGGTGGTGGGAAAACAGTGGTTTGCTTGAGATAGTCCTGCAGCAAGCCGGGCTCCAGACGATGAATTTAGGAGTCAGAACATCATGGTTCTACAACATTAGAATGTAGAGACGGTCTACTCTTATGCCCTCATTTAATTTTAAAGATAATATAAAATGTATTAATTTGTGCTTAGTAGAGAAGATAGTAGATGTACAAAGAAAAAAAGCAAAAATGGGCCATAATCTGTTTTCCGAATAATCCCTCTTGATTTAAAAAAAGTGCAAATTGGCATAGTGCATGCACAGGACTGGAGTGTCAGATGGCGGAGGCAAGCTCAGAGAGAAATGCAGAAGCCCTCCTCCAGGACCCCGCCATCGCCGTCACGGAGGTGAGCATGGTGACGAAGGGAGTGTACGTGCACACAGCTGTACCTTTCCTGTTTTTCATACCATTTTCAAGATATATTAAGTTAAAACGCGTAAGATCGTCTTCCTCACAGCCCCACACATCTTAGGCGTCGTATTCCATTTCATGGCACCTAACTTGGAGTCTGGATAGTGGCCAGTGGCCACAGTGTCTGCTGTGCAGGACCAGCTCCTTGCACTAACGCCCGCCTTCTCTCCACCTCTCTCCCACTCCCTCCAGTAGAGACAAGACCCTTTCTGCAGGCTGACCGTTCTGCTGTCCCCTCCCTGTCTGCCCACTGCTCTTGGGCTGCAGGTCCTGAGTGTCACTGTCCCCAGGAAGCCCTCTGCGACCCCAGAGTGGTCAGGTCACCTCCACTTTCCCTGTGTGAGCTGCTCATGAGGGCAGGGCCCTGTCTCTCTCAGTCACACCTCTACGCTGAGTGCCCGGCATTGTGCCTGAGGAACTTTAGCCACTATGATACGTTCTCTGACTTTGGGCAGATAAACATGCTTATAGTCTAGAAACATTTTGATCTAGAAAATCGCCTAGTGATTATAACTGTAGAGTCACTGCTGTAAAAAGTGATCCTGACACTTGGTTAAGCCAGCAAGGAAGACTCTATTCGAGACCATCACAACAGGGGAGGACGCGACTCCAATATGGCAGGAACAAGGGTGGATGGAAAGCCAAGGGCAGGGTGAGGGAGTGGGTGGAATACCACTCAGGGGAACTGGATTAGACATCGGGGTGGAGGAACAGGAGCTTGGTGGGGTCTTAGGGGATACGCTTAGCAGGTCTCTGCTCGCACTGGACTCGGTCGGGCAAGGACCAGGCCTTGTTGAGAAAAGGACTCAGAGGAACCTGACTAAAGTTTGGTCAAGGAGGGGTCATTGCACTGCCAGACAGAAGAGCCACATGGCAATGATGCTCTCTAGTGTCTACTGCCACATCCTAAAAAAGGCAGGAGAGACCCTCGGGAATGAGAGACTACACACAGCAAAGCTCTGTGCAGTCAAGCATTGCCAGAGAACATCAGTGGGATCCACATCCAGGACGAACTTGCATTGTTCCCGTCTTTCAAGATAGGAATGATAAAGTATAGACTGTTGTCTCGGAGTAATGATTAGCAAAGCCTCTTTTCATTCTTGGACTGTCCCAGTTTGGCCGATACATTACGTGGCCCCTTGGCTGGTTGTCCCTCTGCACAGAGACTAGCTCTGGGCCTAGCACTGCCGCCCTGACATGAGCCACAATAGATCCCCTGCAATCACTAGACATGAGCCATGGGTTTTTAGCGAGGCAGCCGGTGGTCAGGAAGATGCTTGAAGAAATCAGCTAACATGAAGAACTGTACTACAGGCTCTTTGGACTTCCTCAGTGGGAGTGAAGGAAGATAGGGGAGCTGCAGGGTTGGCAGACAGTGGGGGCGAGGCTAGGACATCTAGGGATCTGTGGTGAAGCGTCACCAAGACGAGCTGGTTGTATGTGCTTGGAAATCGTGGCAAGTGATATCGTGAGCATACTTTAACAAGTGGTACTGTGTTCTTATTTAAATTTCAGAGTGTCCATGCAAAGTGCTGGCAAGACAAGAATTTGCTTCCTACTTCGCAAATTGTGGGTGTGAAAGAAGCCACCCCAATTTCTCATTGCCGACCTGCTAAATCATTCCATGCGGGGGCTGGAGGTGGAGAGGAGGGCTTGCCCAGAAATGTGTATTTTTAACAGATTCTGGAGTTCTGATGGGGAGTTTGGTTTGAGAACCACTGCCTTAGAAGAGTTGACATTTTGCAACAAAGACGTGTTCTTCTTAACCTGCATATATGTGGAGGTTGGATCATTTATTTAACAACCCATTGTTGACTGTCATCCTGGCCTGGGGCTGGGGAGGCAGCAGTGAGCAACAGGATTCGTTTGCTGCCCAAGGAGTTTTCCCCGACAGAAAGATGGGCCTTCACCTGGTCATGCCCTCGCAGCAGCATCGCCACACAGGGGACATAGAGGGCTACTGTCACTGAGCCGGGGGCCAACCCTGGACTTGGGGCTCAGGACTGGCCAAGGGTGAGGTGGGCGGGAGTGTAACCGCCTGCAGTGGGCACCGTGTGTGCAGTGGCCTCGTGCAGCAGAGTGCAGAGCTGCAGGGCCGCCAGGGCTGTGGGGCCAGGGTGGGCAGGCGGGGCAGGGGACTTGGACCCTCAGAATGCCCACCAGCACTGCAGGGCTGCAAATGAGGATGACGGGGTCGAAGCCGGGCCCTAAACCCAGCGAGTCGATGGGCACCAACCCACGGCCTTCCACAGGCCGCTGGGGATGTTGGGTCACCCGCGTGTCTGTCAGGGAGGTGCTGTACTGGGGAAGCACCTGGCCTTTGCAGGGATCCTGCTGCTGGATGAGGCCCCCTTCTGCAATACCATCCACTTAGAGTCTGCCATGCTCATGTCTGTGTCTGTCTCTCTCCTAGATCCTGCCCGGCCTGTACATCGGCAACTTCAAAGGTGAGTTCTTGCTTTTTTATTGTTGTGATAAAATACACATAACATAAAATGTGTCATCTTGACCATTTTAAAGTGTATAGGTCAGTGGCTTTAAGTAATTTGCATTGCTGTGCAGCCATCACCAACATCCTTCTGCAGGACTTTTCATGTTCCCAAACTGAAACTGTGTCCCTTAAAACACCAACTCCCCATTCCTCTCCTCCCAGCCCCGGGCAGCCACCATTCTGCTTTCTGCCTCTATGAATCTCACAACTATCGGAGCCTCCTCTTAGTGAAATCATGCAGTATTTGTGCTTTTGGGACTGGCTTATTTTACTGAGCACAGTGTCACAGTTCATCCGTGTTGCGGCGTGTGTCAGAATGGCCTTCCTTCTTAAAGCTGAATAATACTCCATTGTGTGCATAGGCCTCATTTTGCTTCCATTTATTTGTTCGTGGACACTTGGACTGTTTCCACCAAAAGTGAGTTCACTTTTTAAAAGATCAGCTTTAGACTTCTCATGGGTGAGATTGACAGGCAAAGTGTAGACTCAGTCTACAGTCTGTTCTGGGAGTGGCCCCCACTTGCACCCAAGCCCCTTGCTGGGTGCACCGCAGCCCCTTGACCATCACCTGATGGAGTGATGTGAGGCTGTGCCCGCTCCAGCTCTGCCCTGGTTCTCCTTTGAACTCTCCACACCTGTTGGAACATTATCATCAAAAGGTGTTGGACAACAGGCACATTTAGCAATCATGTGACTTATTTATAACCTTTTACAACTTTCATTTTTTAGTTACTATTGAGAAATTTTCAGAAGCCTGTTCTTTTTAAGTCACCTGGGAAACAAGAGTGACAATTTCATCTCTGGCAGATTCTTCTCATCTGGTGCTTCTCTTCTCACACATTTCCTGCCACTTGTTCCGTACTGATTGATTTACTGTCAGCTATTGACTCTATTTTCACTCAGCTCTGGAGCACGGTGGTCACTGGGCTTGTCGGCTTCCAGGGAGGGGCCAAGTCCCCCTGCCAGGTGACCTTCAGAGTTTGTGTAAGTGAATCACTGAGATGAGGTGGGAAGATAGAGATGAGGGGCCCTTAATAGGATGGGAGAGACCTGGGAAGCTTGCAGGCAGGTCCCCACTCATGTTAGGTTGGACAGAGCCAGACCATGTCATAGGCAGCTAATGCTCCTCCCTTCCCTAACAAGCCAGAACATGGCCACTCCTGTTGGCTTTCTGGATGTTGCTGAAATTTCTGAGTTCAGATTCAAATTGATTGTACAAATAATCTTTATTGTTGCTCTATAATGTCTGTTTCCACACACACACCCGTATCCCCCCAGCTCACTATTAGGCCTCAAAGAGAATTGAGCACAGAGAGCTGACAGCTGCTAATTGCTACAAGAACATGTTAAAAATAGTACTGGACTTGCTAAATTAGTAAGCTTTGTAGTTCTGAAAAAGCAGCAAACCCTTTGTGGTGAGTAGGCCAGGATACATTAATGTAGCAAACGTCAGAGTTATTTAGTGAGTTATTAACTGTTTTCATGGGGAAAGGGAGTGTCTTTGAGAACAGAGTTTAGGATAAGTTCTTAGAAGTAGAATTGCTAGATGAAAGGTTTGAAATTAAAAATTTTAATAAATATGAACCAAATTCAACACTTCTGACAACAGTATGTGAGAGTTTTAGCCTTAATCATGAAAGGTTACTTTTTTTGGAAGGACAGCTTTAAGGAAATATTTAAAACTCTTTTCACACTACAAGCTATACCTGTTTTCTAAATATTCAATAACATAGGACTCCTTGCAAGTTCCTGGATCTTGTGCTTTGTGGTTTCGTCTATGAGAGTGTTGTAAACAGCCCACCACCTCTCCTTGTTCATAGGGTTAATGCTGCATTATTACCTTAAGTTATTCTGATATTGGTATGAGGTTGTGTTTTATTCACTCGTTAGCCAAATATTTATTAAACGCTTTCCAGGTACAAGGCTTATCTAAAAGAAAGGAATGAGAGTACAGTGAATTGGCGAGTGGCTCGAAGGAGAGGAAGTATTTTCCCCAATTGTGCTGTGAATTCACTTGTTCATTGCACAAGCTTATCGGGAACACACGATGTGCTGGGAGTTGAATGTGGACCAGTGTCCCTGCCCTCAGGCTATCAGAGTCCAACAGCAGGTGCAGAACAGGAAGGGGCCAGTGTGTGTCCTCACATGAGTTACACACCTGGGGGTGTAGACTGGGAAGATGGAGTCTGTCTCACAGGGCTGTAGCGGGGCTGACCCAGACAATGGGTGATGCCCTCGGTGGGCTCAGTGCCCAATACCTGGTGCCCTGATAAATAAGCACCCACACACTCACTGCTACTGCCATGGGAGCCCGATCGATGCCAGGTCTGCAGTAGGCAGCTGGGTGGCATTGGCTGGCAAGGGTGGAAACCCAATGTGGAATGTGGCCTCTTTCTTTTTTCCTGGGCGGTGAATCCAGCTGTCATCTGTGCTCTTGCCTGGCATCTCATATAGTCATTTATCCTGCTCTTTTAAAATTACGAGTAATATGTGCCTCTTGTAACACAAGAACCAGTAGAGTAGAAAGGAACGTAAACAGTCACTCCCTTCTTCTGTCCCTTCTCCTTCCTCCCCTCCCTTCTCTTCCCCTTCCCGTTTCCTTTCTTCCCTCCCCACTTCTCTCCCTCCCTCCCTTCCTTCTCCTCTTCCCTCCTTCCTTTCAGTAGGATCCCTCGCCTGTCACTCTGCAACTCTTAAGAAAAAAAAGCTTTGTAATGAATCCACAAATGGTTTTGTAGCGCCTGGTGATTTTTGCTCCTGGAGAAGAACCACAAACAAACCCAGCTCTGGAGCCCGGTCTTTGGGTCTTCGATGCTTTGGTGAGAGCCTCTCTGTTGAGGCTCCAGGATGCAGCAGGCAGCCTTGCCCAGAAGCCAGGAGGGAAGGCAGGGAGTGGAAGCCAGAGAGAGCAGCCCCTCCCTGGGCCGGAGGGTGGGTCCGTGGCTTCCTTACAACTTGGCACCAGCGACAGTAGATGTCAGCTGACAGACGAAGCCCTCATTGTTTGAAGATGTCCACAGAATTCTAGAAAAGTGGGAACGCTCTTAGGTACTGTGTGTACGTGAGTGGTGTGCATTGAGACCATGTTCGCAGTCTTGAGCTTGTGTTTTGTGCCTGCCAGTAAGACAGACAGTCCTGGTGGGTACCCAGTTGTTTGGACAAGGCCAGCCTGGTCAGAGGTAGTCTGCTGTCAGCTTACTGAGACAAAATCACCATGCTTAACAGGTCAGCATATGTCCATCCAGACTTATTTTTTCCACATGAATTCTAACTGATAACCTTCCTGTTGGTTTTATGAATTACTAACCTGTTGCATTTGTGACTGCCAGTTGGGGAGGGGCCCGCTGGCACCGGGCCAAAGGTCATTCCCTCCAGGGCTCAGTGTTAGGGTGCACATGACCTTCTGGGGTTCTTCTTAAAGCGCATGTTCTGATCAAGTAGACATGGGGTCTACTTGATGCTCTGCTGCCGGTTGGAGGACCCCATGTTGAGCACCAAAGCGCTAAGTTCTGCCCCTCTAGGTCTGTGCTCAGGAGGAGCTAGTTTGAAATGTACAAGCTTGTGTCTGTGCACATTAGGAAACTCCACCTTGAGCCTTACAGCTGGATTCCCAGCTCATTACCTCGCTGCTCATGATTGTAGGTCGCCTTCCAGGACAACCAATAGTGTGAAGTCTGTAAGAATTAAAGTTCCAGGGTCATCACCCAGCAGGTTTGATTAAGCATTTTATGCACTCTGAAGTAAGTGGGCAGAGCCTGTGCCTTATGGGAAAGGATGCATCAGCGAACACGGTGCTAGCGTGCGGTGAGGAAGAGGGGAGGTGCTGGCCCCGGAGTGCTTCCCTGTGCTTTGGAGTCCAGCCGGCAGTGGGCTGTCGTGATATCAAGTGGTCTTCTCTATTCAGAAATGTATGCTTTTTTCCCCAGGCCACTTTAAAAAGATTCACTCTGTATTATCAAAGCATATTTACGGGGTGAAGAAAATGTTCTAAAGTTATATATTGTGGCTATTGTGCAGCCTTGTGAACGTATGAAACCATTGAATCATATACTTGATCAGGGTCCGTATTATGGTATGTGAATTATATCCCAATAAAGCTTTGTGAAAGGAGAAAAGTAGATTGAAACAAATACGGATGGTTGACATTCAAATGCCAGGTGGAATGGGTGTCTGGAGGAGCCAGGTGGGTGGGTCAGATGAGCTGGCGCCATCAGGCTGCCCCGCCTCTACTGGGTCCTCGCCCCACCTCCTCCAGGTTCTGTGAGCGCTGAAGCTGTGGCTTTGTCTGTTTCACTGCTTTTCTAAAATGTCCCATGCTGGTGGCGATTGGAAAATCCCATTTTGGTGTGAATGTGGGAACTGGCTGCCTGTGGCTTCCAAAACGATTCTAGCTTCTGCCTAATTAATTCTAAGCTAGCCTTGCTGGTACCCCAACTTGTGAGGGGTTGGGGGTTGGCAGTGAGTCCCCATGTGCTATGTAGATGGCTCTCATCCATAGCAGGTGGCTTTGAGGTAACTATTTATTTAGCTCAAGGGGGAGTGAGAGGACACTGCTATTATATTATAGACGCCTTTCTGAGCCTGATAACTTAAAGGGCTCATGTTCCTCGTATAAAAAGGTTTTTTCTTTCTCACTTTGGGTCAAAAGATGAGCCAGTCAGAAATAAACTTAGGCAAAATACTTGAAAACAATAGCCCTAAATTTGAAGCTCGAAAATTTGAATCTGGGAAAGCAATAGCCTGGAATTTGAAGCCTGAGAGGTTGGAGCAATGAAAAGAGTCTTAAAAGTGGTATTTTAATATCACCTAAATTTTTTTTCCTGACGTTGCTGAATGTTTAGAACAATGTTTCTTGACTTCTGCTTCATCATCAAGGCTTGTTAGAGATGGAGATTCCTCAGCCCCAGGGTAGATCTTTCTAACTAGCCTCTTGGCAGTTCCTAGGGTGTTAAACTTCAGAGCCACTCATGTAGAACACACACACACACACACACACACACACACACACACACATACTATAAAGAAGGAAGAAAACCCTTGTAATTCCGTCTCTGAGCTGGGGCTGTCTTTGTACCAGTCCCGCCATCCTCCCTGCCATGTGTTTGTCTCTGCATTTTTATACGTTGGGTTTGTGTCATATTTATGGTTTGGTACCTGCTTTACATTATACCCTGAGCATTTTCCCATGCCATGAAATAGTCTCCAGAACCATGATAATTAAACATTTGCCTTTCTTTGTTGTTGTTGTTGTTTGGTTTTGTTTTGTTTTGCTTGAGATAGACTCTCACTCTGTTGCCCAGGCTGGAGTTCAGTGGGGCGATCTCGGCTCACTGCAACCTCCGCCTCCTGGGTTCAAGCGATTCTCCTACCTCAGCCTCCTGAGTAGTGGGGTTTACAGGTGCACACCACCACGCCCAGCTAATTTTTGTAATTTTAGTAGAGATGTGGTTTCGCCGTGGTGACCAGGCTGGTCTCACACTCCTGACCTCAGGTGATTGGCCCGTCGCGGCCTCCCAAAGTTCCGGGATTACAGGTGTCAGTCACCATGCCCGGCCTAAACATTTGCCTTCTGATCCATTTCTCCTGTATCATTTAGGAAAGTTCAGCCAGGCTGGGATGGGGGTGTAGGGAAGTGGACCTCCTCATTTCCTGCTGGCCCCCTGTTTTGTAGATTAGTAGAAGGGTTCCACTTCAGGGGATCACACCATTTGGTCTTCTTTTTGCAGGTAGGGACATTGGAAGGGAATATAATTTTGTTATCTTCTTAGTTTCATATGGAGATAATTTAATAGCCAACTGATAGCTGATAGACAGTTCTGTTTGGAATTTCCAGAAAAAGTTTCATTTTTTAATTGTGCTTTAAAGTGAATATAGATGATGTAAACCACAGTCCTGTCTGAATCCAGAACTGTCCCTGCTTTTGACGTCTGGGGAAAGAAGTAATGGGCAGTTTCCTTTGTCTTCTAGAGTTAATGGTTTTGTATTTAGCTTTTTAAGAATTCTCATCATTAAGAGGCCATTGAATTAAAAAAATATTTTAAATATCCCTAATATTATGTGTCTCATGCAGAAAGACTGACCTAAGGTCATCTCTTACAAATGCTAACTACAAAATGGTCTCGTAAATTTACCTTCTTGATGATGTAATCCATGTAATCCATCATGATTACAATGTTTATTAATCTAAGTGCATTTCAATTTCTAGATTAACACTTTTGTTGCCTAAAAGGAAGAAGCTGAGGCAAAATTAATACAGAGGGTTTATTTGGGCCAAGCTTGAGGACTGTAGCCTGAAACACACTTTCAGGTTGCCTTGGGGAGTGCCCCGGAGAGTAAAATAGGGGCTCAAGTTTTTAAAGAAAAAAAGACGAATCAGGAGAGTGGCAATTACAAAAAATTGTTCAGCAGGAATTCTCATTGGTTTATAGAAATAACATTGGTTAGTGCCTGGCTATACGATATTGAACTATGATGTATGGCATTTTATGTCTACTTGGCATCAGTCTAGGGACCACATAGCAGATGGCTTCAAGGTAACCATTTAGCTCAAGGGGGAGGGAGAGGAGACTGCTGTTATATTACAGAGGCCTTTCTGCACCTGATCATTTAAAGGGACTCTTCTTCCTCATAGAAAGTTTTTTTCTTTCTCACTCTGGGTCAAAAGATGAGACAATCAGAAATAAAGTTAGGCAAGGCCGGGCGCGGTGGCTCACGCCTGTAATCCCAGCACTTTGGGAGGCCGAGGCGGGCGGCTCACGAGGTCAGGAGATCGAGACCATCCTGGCTAACACGGTGAAACCCCGTCTCTCCTAAAAATACAAAAAATTAGCCGGGCGTGGTGGCGGGCGCCTGTAGTCCCAGCTACTCGGGAAGCTGAGGCAGGAGAATTGTGTGAACCCGGGAGGCGGAGCTTGCAGTGAGCCGAGATGGCGCCACTGCACTCCAGCCTGGGCGACAGAGTGAGACTCCGTCTCAAAAAAAAACAAAAGAAATAAAGTTAGGCAAAATATATGAAAGCAGTAGCCCTAAGTTTCCTACATGTATGGTCAGTTATGAAGTTTCAGGAAAGAAATATGCAAGTCATTTTGTGGGTTTTTTTTTTTTTCTGGCTAGACTTTAGGAGTAATTAACTTGCAAAGATATCAAAATGTCCATCCCCTTTCTTCTCTGACAGATGCCAGAGACGCGGAACAATTGAGCAAGAACAAGGTGACACATATTCTGTCTGTCCACGATAGTGCCAGGCCTATGTTGGAGGTAAGAGAGCACCGTGGGGCGTGTGTGGGTGTCCTCATTTGTATTCCGTGGGAGTACCTACGACGTTAATGAAGGCAACCAGGTTCTCTCCAATGCGAACGTACTCCTGTGATCTCTGGCGGCATTCCCATTGTGTTCAGGCCGTGTTGATGTTAACACGCTGTCTGTAGCGTGGCGCGAGGGTGTGTGCTTTTTCTGATCACACTCCTGCTGCATTGCCACTTTGGCTTTCGTGGCTAAATGCCTAGGAATAAGCTGAGGCTGCATTTCCCTCTGGACCTTAAGGACATTTAAACCCCATTTTCATTCCTTTCAGAATTATCTCTGGTTTTAAAATCCAAAAAACTTCAGCCTGCTCATTTCCTGATTTTGTCCCATTTAAACTCAAATAGCTACCACTGGCATTCAGGGGTCACAGAAAACAGAAGGTGAATCGTCCTGGAGGGTTCCCAGGGCCGCTCTAATGTGGAGACTCTCGGTGTAGAAGCTGTTGTGTTTTAGGTTTTCGGGGTAAACAGGGTGTGTCTGCTTGTGCACTGATTCCAAAAACATCTTTAAATTTACCCTAATGGACGGTTTGAGCTGTTGGCTAGAGGTAAAATCTATTTATGTTTATTAGCCTTGACAGAGCCCGAGTTACCTCCTTTTAGAAAATAATGCTGTGTGGTTGTGATGTGTATGTGTTTTTCTATTTTAGGGTGGGGTGTTGGAAAGGGAGGGGTGGCTTGTTCTGAAAGAAAGAATCCTGGTTCAGGCTGTTTTCATTTAAATTTATATTAGGCAAGAGTAGGTAATGTTTTTTATTTCAAATGTATCTATTTTCTTTAGCCATTAGGGCTGCCAGATTTTAGTTAGTATAAAGTAAGCTAAAATTGATGAGAATGTAGAATAATAAATGATTCTACTAAACATTGTAGTACCAGAGAATCATAGGTGGTGAACAAACCTCAATTAATTTCTCCAGATCTCCGAGCTCCTACTTCCTTGTATTGTTTAGCTCATAATTTTTTTTTTTTTTTTGCTAAGGTGCTGTAATTTGTGTTCCAGCATGATTTTATTGGAAATAACAACAACAACAAAACATTTTTTTGGAGCCTAACAGTTCCTTTGAAAATAACCACTCCATTTTTTAATCTGTCAACAATAGTTTGTATTTAAAATACAGCCAAGCTATGGCCAAGATGCTAAGTTAAACTGCAAACTGGTCATGATTGACTTCCTCTTAAATCACAAGATGAGGCTTGAGGTTTCCTTTATTTTAATAAATTGCAGAGATGCCCTCTCCACCCTCAGCCCCAGGCCTGCCTCCCTGCTTCATACTCCATTAAATGGAACACACTGTCATGTGTGCACATGACCCTTAAATCTGCTCACATTGTAACTTCTGTGTAGATAGGAGATCTGCCAGGGTTAGAAATCAAAGAGCTCCAGCCCTTATCACTTGGGAAACCACAGGCTAGCGAGTAAAGCAGGTGGGTTTGTAACCCAGGTATAAAGAGCCCGCTGATTGTGTAAAACCTCAGAGCTGTGGGCAAACTGTGTTCCCGACACAACACACTACACATTCTTTTTATTCCCTGTGTAGCTCAGTCTGTAAGGACAAATTCTGCCTTTAAAAAAAGAGAGAGAGAAGTGCTACCCCTTTTCTTCACTGGGACAGCTTTTACTTGGAGACACCCTATTGTAGTCTCCGGGTGCTATTATTATCTTAGCTTCATAATAAGTACTTCCATGTGATTTTATATTTATTGTTATGCCACTGTTTTGTAGCATAATGTATTAGTATTGCCCCTCTTAGCATTTTATCAATCTTTAATTTCACAAGTAATTCATGATATATTCTTATTTTAAAAATTAAAACAATAGCCTCTGATTGCACAGTGGGGAAAAGTGAGGGGCCAAAAGTTATTTGAATTGGTGGTGCCCACATTAAGTTATAGTCTCAGAAGTTCCAAATCTTTGTTTAGCTGTCTGCCTGGGGCACAAAGGCAGTCTTCTGTCTTGAGTTTCAAATCCAGATCCATAAGCTGTGTCCTCACGCAGCCTGAGATGAGTCAGGGAAATGATGTGTTTGGAGTCGGTGGGGAATTAGCGGACGGGTTTGGTGCTTCAGCAGCTCCTTGTTTTGCCAGCCCTGATCCCGGGAGAGAAATGGGGCAGGGAATGAAGGTGAGCGGGGAGACTGTGCGAGGTCAAGCAAATGCAGTGAGCTGACCCCTGGCTGGTGAGAGCCCCTAAGTGAGGGTGATAAATGGTGGGAGAGGAGAGAGCTGGGCCTCATTTATTTCCCGAGATCTTCAAAACCATACGTATTTATTGAATGGCCGCTGGCTTCTCTGGGCAGCCCCAGGCTGGGGCTTGGTAGGAAGTGGGAAGGTAGCTACTGTCTAAAATGGAAGGGTTTTGGTCCTGCTACATCCATGCAGGTGTCCTGCGAGCCCTGCTGCTGTGAAGCGACGTATTGGGCACTACACTGTGGATACTTCTTTGGGTCATTTCCAACAAACATCTCAATGAGTTTAAAGCTCTGGGTTACTTAGCATCAGTTACAAAGGGCTTTTGGAAACTCTAGTTCTGCCTTTATTGTGATGGAGACTAAGTGAGAGAGGGTATTCATATTGTTGGATGTGGCCATGCAAGTTTAGAAAACTTAGCACACTTTATTCCCCTCTGGAAGGTTCACAGTTGTGTTGTCGGAATAAAGGCTTGAGAGCCCTATTGTGCAGACATGTATCAGCCTTTGTGAGCCGGGAGACATTGTATGTGCTTGCTTATGTGATGTGCCTCCTACTGAGACCCCCATGGAACATGTCCTGTGAAATCCAGGGGATGTAAGTAAGGAGGCTCCCATTTTTACTTAGGAAGGAACTAAGGAACTTGTGACTTGGTTGCTTTTGGTTGGATTAGATTGGACCCCATTATTTGGGTAATTTGTTGGGGGTTGGGGTTTCCCAAAATAGCATTCATAGCATCTTGTACTCTTCCTAGCAGCCTGGCTGGAAAAAGAAAATAGAAGGTACTGTTATCAGGCCTTCAGAGTGGCTGTGCCTTGCCTCTGGTCAGGGAGTGGCTGGGTGGTCTCTGATGCGTCTTGGGTGGATGAGAGAAGATGTGTTTATCCACTGGACCATGATGGGTGAGGTGGTCAGCCAAGGGAAAAAGGCCTATGTCTCCAATTACTACCTCTTCAGAAGAGTAGCTAAGGGGTAGACCTTCCAGAATGAAGATCTTAGAAACGTAATAGAAACCTGGGGACCTTCAAGCTCTCTAGTAAGCCCTAAATTCACATCTGAGATTCTGAGGAGCTCTGACCCGTTTCTATGCCCCACTGCTCTCTGTCGGAGACAGAAATCCCAGCTAAACAGGGTCTAGAGATCAGCAAGCCTAACTCTATCATTGGGTGGACAAAAACCTGGACGTTGGGAGACAGGAAAGGACTTGCCTGGGATTCCCATGGCTGTCTGGGTAGCTTGATGGGAAGCCGGGACTCCTCTCCCAGACTGGGGATTTTCCCAGCATGCCCCACTGCCTCTGTTCTCTCCTAGCACGACTGATGTTTCTGATATCCTTAGTGGTATCGGTAGATCTTACCAGATCACCTTTGAAAAAGGTTGTGCTATTTGTGCTTGTACTAGCAATGTATGAAAGTGCCTTTCCCTGCCATGCCATCACCAGCACAGAGCTTTGCTCTTCTTTCCTTTTAATTAGCAAGATTTTTGCTGTTATTTGCTGCAAATACCCTCTTCACACATCCCGTCCCTTTCCAGAAAGTTCTTCCCTTTGAAGACAAAGGGTTACTGATTTATTCATTTCTTGAGCTCCTCCTATGTTCCAGGTCTTGGGACAGGTACTGTGGGTAACAGAAGTGAGTTCATCCCAAGATCTTCCCTGGCAGAGCCTTTGGTGTATGCACAAGATACGCGTTGTAGCTGCTTTATAAATATTGGTGACAGTGAGAGAAGAGCTGTGGCTTGGAGCAGGTGGCAAATCCCATAGGAACAGAGCCTGTGGAAGCCCAGAGAATGAGATCCTTCTTCTGCCGTTGAATCTGGAGACATTTGACTGGGCCTTTGGCGATGCCTAAGAATTCAGAAAATGTGATCCCTGGCATTCCAGCTGGTGGAGAATGCCAGGACATGACTTCCTCTGAGAACTCTGAGTCCAGCAAGGTGGATGGTGTTATTTAGTGCCTCTATGGCTTAACCAGGCTGGTTCTCACATCATCTGTCAGCAAGTGGCAGGGCCAGGGCTGGAACCAAGGCCTTCTCACTACAGAGGCAAGGGTCTTCCTGCCAGCCATAGCCCTTCAGGACTACACTTTTGGTATCAAAACTTCGGAGCACATGATGCTAGTAAAATGGCGGAAAATCATTGCCGCATATATTAATTTCAATAGAAAGTAAGCCCAGACCTGTTTAAGAGGAAAAAGCAAAATCCTCCTTCGCCTGTTTCTGTGCTCAGGACTTTGTCAGGGAGTTGCCCCTGTGTGCTGAAAAGTGTTTCCTTATTTGTGGGGACGGGTGGGAGCGGTGTCTTCAGCGTCTACTGATGGCTCCAGGTTTGAGGGCTGGTGAAAACTCCTATTGCAAAGACAGTGATTTTTCAAATCAGAAACCTGATATTGTTTGTAGTTGCTGAGAAACTAATATTGAGCAATGAAAGGTTTCTCCCTTCCCCTGAAAAAAAGAAACAGAACTCTTTCTAATGTAAAAATTTCGGTGTTTCATTTTTCATTTTGTGTATTTAAGCAGAGCACCTGCAGGAAACAAAACTATTTCTCACTATTAACAAAAAAAAAGTTTTAAGAAGTATTCTCATGCCTTCACTAAGCTTCTAACATGAAGAACCTTACCTTTTTAAAAATGACACATACTGTAAGATGACAGTGTAGGATCAAGTAGAGAAAAAATGATTTATACTCATTTATGAAGACCAGGGTATTGTATGTATATACCAGGTAGATTTTATGAGCTAGAGTTCAGCTTGGATATTTTCTGTTTTCAGTGTGAACCATTTATGGTGTTTTTAAAAGAATGGGATGTTTTCATATGCAGACATTTATTCTTGGTGATTCTGTTTATATTTCTTTTAACATTGAAGACATTTTTTGAAGTGTTGATGCCAAGACTTTACTTGTGTTAGTTTTGTTTGTAGTTGGCTTCTTCCTCTGGTTGTTAACTGTGTGCCTGTACTTCTGTCTTTATTTACCTGCTTATTGATGAGGAAACTCACCAAGGTGAGACGCCCAGTCTGCTTGGACGGCCCCATCCTTTTTCCCCGGGTCAGTGCCCAGCGGCCACGTGGGCCTGAGGCCGAGGTCTCCTGGAGGGACCCTGGTTTCCTGCCACGTGTTCCTCTTGCTGATCCACCCCATTTCTCTTGAACAAAAGTTTTGTTGGCTTCCCAAATGTAAAGCAAGCCAGAAGCAAGATGATAAAGGGTGTTTAAAGTTGAAGAAGGCATGTGTGTATTCTCTTTCCTCTCTTCCCACCCTCTCCTGCTCACATGAATTCTCCCCTCCCTCCGAGCTCAGCCCCAGCTCTCCTTCCTCTGAGAGGGACACCGTCAGGGTCCTCCGAGCTCAGGACTTCGGCCCCTTTTCTGTAATGTCTTCAGTTTGTACTCTCAGTTGGGCCATGAGACACGTGTGCACTGTCCCTGCTTCTGTAGGATATTAAGCATCCATTTAACCTGTGCTTTATGACGTAAGTGTTCATGGCCCACATCGGGCTCCTGAGCTGGCCTGGGAGCCCACACAGGCAGCTGCCGTGCTGGGGTTTCTCTGGTCCTTGCAGCACTCGGCTTGGATCCAGCACGCAGGGGCCCCTCTGCAGATGTCTGCTGATGAAAGGCGAGATTTGCACCATTTAGCCCCGTTCCAAAGTGAGAAATCATGTCTTATCACGCATTTAGCCCCGTTCCAAAGTGAGAAATCATGTCTCATCACGTCTTTGGCCCCTTGTGGCTCATTAGGATGTGAAAGTAGAGTGGGGTCAAGAGTGATTTCTTTATCATGAGCAATTTGTGAAGCCAGAGGATCGGTTAGTGCAATGCAGCCTCGCTTATATGGGCAGTCTGTGTAGTTCCTCACTTCCTTAGTAAGCAGCGGTGCCTGTGGATGTCCTGTTCTACAGAGCTGCTGTGGCCTCTGGTTCAGAATGATCTTTTCCTAAGTTGTTACAACCAGTAATCCCCTGTGCAGCTCCTGTGACTTTCTGATTGAAATCTAGAGAGCTACCTTTGCTTGTCATTAAAAGCTTGGCTCTACAAAGAGGACCATGCATCCAAGACACAGACAGTGACAGTCAATTAAAGGAGGATTTGCCATGGTCAAGCCCCATGCCAGGGTTGGCACACAGCTTGTGGAAACGCTGTCACAGACTTCATGGAGCTTATCCTCATTAGGAAAAGCTAAGAGGACATTCAGGGCACAGGGACTTGTGTTCTGGTTGTAAAGGGAGAGCCTCATTGCCTGTGGCCCTCCTCCAGCAGCCATTGAGGCTGACATGCAGGCCATCACCTCCAGCCCTACCTTTTCCCTAGGTGACCACAGCAGGCCTCAGCTCTCAGGACCCCAGGGGGTGACCACAGCAGGCCTCAGCTCTCAGGACCCCAGGGCCTTTCCCCAGGTGACCACAGCAGGCCTCAGCTCTCAGGACCCCAGGGCCTTTCCTGTCCAGAACCTGCAAGTCACAGAAGCTATAGGTTGCCCTTCTCCAGGCACAAGGAGGATAAACCCCCAAAGCCACACATCTCATACACACAGATGTGTACAGATGTTCAAGTGTGCAGCCATTCATGGCAGCGCTGTTTGTAATGGCAACAAATTGGAGCCAACCCACATATTCAGCAGAAGGGGAGTGGTCAGTGCTGGTTCATCCATATTAAGGAATACTCGGCAGCAATTCAACAAGAAAAGGAAGACGTCTGTGTGTTCACAGGGTTAAGTCCACTGTTAAGAAAAGGAAGCAAGTTATAGGATGATACCCATCATATAATCACATTTATGTAAAGTTTAAAGTCAATGGTGTATTTCTGTATTACATTTATATGCATGATAATGCACAGATAAGGGTTTGAAAGGACCAGGCCAGACTCCTCAAACTGGTGATTTCCTAGAGAACTAGAATGGGAGGGGAGGGAGGGAAGGATGATTCCCACTTTTTCCTCTATTTAAAAAAAAAAAAAATTCTTGAATTTATTTGTCACAATAAGATCATGTCCAAGTATCTATTCGAGTGAAGACAGTGGGAGAAAGAAGGGAAGGGGGTCTGTGGGCCATGCTCTGGGTGTCTGGTAATGACAGGTAGATTTCATTTGAATGTTCAGGCCTGGCTGGAAGGTGATCTGTGTTTGGCTGCGCTGTGTTCATAGATGCATGTGTGATGCATGATGTCAGGCAAGCTACATCCTGTTGTCCACGGCCGATTGGTACAAAGCAAAGTATGTCATCCACTTTATTTCAGTCATCTTAATCTTCAATCTTCAAAGGGAGAAGATGGCCCAAGACATGTATTTACTGGTCTAGACTTTCTTTCCTGTGTGATCTATTTCTACCTGAATGATTGGACACAAAATGAATCTGTGCCCTTTTTTAGGACTCACAGATGCCCGGGGGATACAGCTTGAAGCACTGGGCAAGATTTCCCATTTGCGTTGGCCATTGTTTCCAGCGTGGGTGAATTCAGCTATCTTACCGAAAAACACTGTGGGTGTCAAGTTGCTAGAAAGGTCCAAGTCTTTTGAAAACCAGTTGCTGTTTGACCTGGAATGGTTTTCAGATTGACAGTTGTTTCCAGCACACCTCAGTTGTTTTCATCTCTCTAGGAAAACCTCTTTGAAGCCACCCAGAATCAGTGGTACTTTGCTGTACCAAAAGCTTACAGCAGCTTTCGTGTGTTGAGGCAAATTTGTTTGAAGCCAACCCCAGATTTAAATAGATATGACTCAAATAGAAATGATTATAGCAGGGATCGAAAACTGTCTAGTAATCGCTCTTTCTTGAAGCAAGCTGTATCTAGGTTTCTCGTGTGGCAGTCGGGTGTGTAAGAGCGGCCCCTCCACTGGCTGGTCCTGCTACCACAGACTCACTTGCAAATGGAGCCCTAGAACTCCTGCATGGCTGGACTCAGAGGGCTTGAGATCTTCCAGTACTTAACTGAGTCTAGGGAGGACATGGTTTTTTAAACTTCTAAATCAAAGAACTCTTTTGGCCTGGCTTCCTAGAGGTACCCTGTCCTTCAGCTGGGGACCTTCTCTCTAGGGCTCGTGCTCACTGACCAGCCTCTCCTTACAACTGAAGACTTTTGCAGGACACTCTTCCTAGATGTTGCCTTCATGTTGAGTCCCGGTGTCTGAGCATTTCCTCCTGACGGCTGTACTTGAGCAGTCACCTGGCACAGGTGTGTGGAGGACTCTGCATTCTTGGAGTGGGTTTCCTGGTTTGCATCTCACCCTGTCCACGTTGGGGAATGTGTGAAGGGCAAGATCTGCCAGGATATCGAAACCAAGGTCTTGGGAGAAGCATGCAGCGCGTGGGCTCCTCCGTGTTCGGACTGAGTGTAGTGTGCATAGACACCACTGCAGCCTGGTTGCCTTTGGGTGCCAAAGTGCCTATCATAGATGGCATGGGCTCTGCCAGTCCACGCAAGGGCTGCATGGTCATGGGCTGGGAGATTTGGGGAAGACTTTGTAAAGAGAGGGGTGTTGAGGCAGCCTTATAGGACTAGTGCGGTTTGACTCAGTGGGGAGGGAGGGTGAGGGGTGTGTCTTCTGTAGGTTTAGTGCTTCAGGGCAGGTCAGGGAGGGGGAGATGAGCCCCACCTGATGATAGAGTGGAGGCGGTGGTCAGTACGGGTGAGGGTGGTGCTGTCTTCAGTTCTCCTTTTGGCTACGTTGGAAGTTGTTACTCCTCCAGACTCAGCAAACATTTATTGAGCACCTACCTTGCAGCAGGGATTGGGGATAAAATACAAAGAGAAGTGAGATGTGTCCCAACATTAAGGATTGACAGGCGTGTAAATCCTTAAAAATGCATACCAGAGGCAAGGGCCCTGGGCACCCAGGGGAGGCGGCTAACACTGCAGGGCAGACAAGACAGCAAGGCTTCACCAAAGGTGAAAATCTGGTGTGGTCCTAAATGATCATAGAGGTTTGCCAGGCAGTGATGGAGATGACAGGTGAGTTGGAGGTGGGATTCTGGGTAGAGAAAGCTGTGTGTGCAGAGGTACAGGGTGCACTAAGGGATGGGGCATGCAAGGGAAGGTGTGTCCTGGCACTTTGGGAGCTCACCAGGGTGGCTGGACTGGAAAAGCAGGCTCAGAGCAGATTAGCAAAGACATTGTTTGTTAAGCTGTGGAGTCTGAACTTCATCTTGCAGTAAGCAGAGACCCAGCAAAGATTCATGAACAAAGCCAGGTGACACATTCCGATTTCTTTTGCAGGATGTTGTCTCAAGGTTAGAGTGGAGTGAGGGAGTTGGGTACCCCAGAGACCCTCGAAAGCTCTTGAAGTAATCCTCGTTAGAAGTGATGAGGGTCTGAACTGGGATGCTGGGGACTGGATATTTTTTAGAAGTGAAAGAGTCAGATTTGATCTGAAAATCTTCCATAAAGTGACATAACAAAGTTGAAAATGAAAGAAGGGGAAAGATTCTCTAGCAAGAATCAAGCAAAAGGAACATGGCATAGTGATAGTTTTTGTGAGATAAAATGGAATTGAAAGCAAAAGAAAAAATAATAATAATTAGGGTAAAGAGGGAAACTACATTAAAAAAAAAGGAACAATCCATTGAGAAGTTACAACAGCCATAAACTCATCAGACGTCTTCAAAATACAGAAAGAGAGTCATTTCTCAGACTGGGGAGTCAGGGATGCCTGAGGGTACAGCTAATTAGGCTATAAGTACCCATGGCTCTGCCATCCAGGGATGTGAGTGCTCCAGGAAACAGAGCTGGGTGGAAGAAAGGGACCAAGCTCAGTCATGGGTGGAATGTTCATGTGATATTCATCACTGGATAGAAATACAGGTCCAGGGCTCAGGAGAGAGGTCTCGGCTGGACGTGAAGATTTGGGCATCACAGTATCACAGTGTATCTACATAGTGTATGCATATCATCTACATAGTGTACACATATCATCTACATAGTGTATACATATCTACATAGTGTATACATATCTACATAGTGTATACATATCATCTACATAGTGTATCTAAGCCATTGCTCTTAAATAAAACCATGGGAGAAAATGCTAGGACAGCATGACTAGGGAATGATGGTGGGGCCATCCTCCAGCGTCTTGCTTTTATGTGGTGTTATGCAATGGAATTCACAGCCTGTGAACACGTGATCTTGGGAGACACACATCTTTGTTACTCCTGTAACCCCTTGTGTGGGTTCTAGTTAGTCTCAGCTCTTCTGAGTGCAGTCCTTGGGGTTCCCTGCAGGGGCGCCTCAGGGTACTCTGGCCCCAGTGTAGAGCTTGAGTTTTGCTTCCCCCAAGCTGAGATTTTGCAGCTTCTCATTCACAGATTCCAACCCAAGAAGACCCTCGTGTTTGGCTGTTTTAGGTGCTGTGGACACTGGAAAGGGGAGACTAGGTGACGTGAATAGCAAGTCTGAAATGCTTTCAGAGGAGATGCAATTCTGTAAGGCGTTTGAAAGAGAAGACAGGCTTAGGTTGGTAGAAACAACCAAGGAGAATATCCGTGGAGAGCATCCACGGAGGGAAAGAGTGTTTCTTGTTCCGGGTCGGGACAGCACCGTGTGTGGCTGGCTGACTAGCAGAAAGCTTAAGCATCATGGTGGTGGTGGTGATGGAAGAGGACATCTAGTCCAGGGAGATTCCGTGGGTTATGGCTGCTTGGTGGGGCGGGGGGGGGCCTTCGAGTCTGCAATAGGAAGTTTGAATGGGAAGTTAAAGGGGGTAGGTTGGTTAAGACCCAAAGCCGGGTTAAAGGGCTCTCTGGGCACCATTGTTGTTTTTAGCCATAAGAAAATGCGCCCTAGTTTACCAAAGACTGGTTTAAGCAAATCTGCTGTTTTCAGGTGCTCTGAATAATCATTGCCTGCTAGGCAATGCAGGTGGACCTTGTGTTTGCCCACACCTGCAAGGGAAGTGCTCCAATCTTATTTTAAAACTCTGAGAGTGAAGCAATAGCACCTAGCTAGTTTCATCACCTTATTACAGGCTGTGAACAAGCTCTGTCCATGCTTTTAAAAATGTGTTCCCCTCTGTGTGGCCAGACTCCCTGGGATGTTTTAAAGGCGTGTGTGCATGTGTGTGTGTGTGTGTGTGTGTTGAGGTGGACAGTATCAAACCCTAGGTTTGAATTGAGAAGTTATTTCCCTCCTTTCAGTTATCACCGCAGCTACTGCCAGCGTCAAGTTTCAGCATTCATCACTGAGCAGGGGCATCGCCAGCTAGCTCTGGCCTTCTTTTCCCATGGGAAAGCAAATGAAATGCATGGTGAAAGTTCTGGGCGTGGGAACGAAGTAGGTGCATCTGAAATCTGAGTTAGAGCTTCTTTCTCTTGAGGTCCAACTTTTTGTTCTCAGGTTTTTCCCCGGCTAGTGGGGGTTAATCCACAAGGCCCTTGGCTCCTTCCGTGAGAGGTGCAGCCACTATCAGTGCAAGGAGAGGACGCGGGGAAGTGGCTCTTAGGGCGTCCCTTTGCCATCTTAGGATGGCTGTATAGGCACAGATTTCCCTGTCAGTTTGTAACTCTGGGGTGAACAGAGCAGAGCTCAGACCTTGGCTTGAGACTCCTACTCTTGGAAATTATTCCTAAGCAGAGGAGTTCAAGGATCATTTCAGCTGTGCTGACCTGGGAGGAGGCAGAGCCTCGCCGGGGTAGAATAGGTACAAATCAAATATATCTATTTTATGAAATACCTTGTTCCAGGAGATCAGCCCCGCAGCACCCAAGTGGAAGCAGTTCGAAGTCTCCTTTACATGATTGTCAGTGAGAGCAGATGGAGAGTGCAATTAAATTGCACTATGGAATGGCTCCACCCTATGCCCTGAAGAAGAAAAGATCTCATAACTAGCAAAGGAAGATAACATTTCCAAGTGTTTTTGGTTTTTGGCTTCCTGGTTTTTAAAAACTGTTCCTTTAAGCTGAGGTTTCCTGCCTTTTCTGATGGAAACCTCTGCAGCTGCTCCTACTTCAGCAGTGGGCTTGCAGCCGCATGGCTACCCCAGTGAGTGTCCTCTAGCCTCCTTGGTGGCCGGAGCACTCTCTTCCCCTGTGCTTCCACATGTGGGCTCTGACCGAGGTGACCTAGGGCCTCCTTCTGTGCCATGCTAGCAGCGGCAGGCGTGGAGAGGGTGGAGGGCTTGGAGGAGTGCCGCCCTTCCTGGGGAGGCCTGGGAGCAGTGACCCGCTCATCCTTAATCAGAGCAAGGAACACGCTCTCCCACCCACACCTGCTGCCGCGAACCTCAGGCAGTGAGTGCCGCGGAGCACAGGAATGCAGCACGTCTCTAATATTAACTTGCTGCATAACAGAGGGGTGTCCCTCCTGGTGTTGAGGAGAAACAGAAGAGCCGCTGTTCTCATTTCTCTCCACTCTCCCACCCCGTGGACGTTCTTTCTGCCCTGAGCTCCCGTGGCACTCACCACGTCCAGCCTTTGCGTGTCTTGAGCCTCAGCCCTGCCCATGCAGAACTGGCCAGCCCTGGAGGGCAGCACCCTGCTCTGGGTCAGTGTTTGCCTCTTTCTCAAAACAGCTTCTAGAGTATGATCCCAGAGGGAGGATGTGGTGTTCGGCTGGAGGGATCATCCGTGCTGTTTAGAAAGGGCTTCCTAGATGCTGCAGATTGTGTCCAAGCCTGAAGACAAGCGGCAGTCTACAAAGCCTGTAACCCATCTGCAGCTGAGGGACCCATTCCATCACCAGCGAGGGGCTCCGAGAGCTCACTGGCTTAGCCAACTGCAAAACAGGCACAGTGTTCCCAGCAGCGCTTCGTGCCTCCCTAAGGAGGGAGCTGTGTTTAAGGCAGGCTGCCGCATCCTGCCGGGAAGGGGAGGCTGGCTCAGGGAGATAGGTACAGCACACAGCTTGAAGAGCAGTGTGGCCCTCTCCCTGCTGGTGCCTGGAGAGTCATCTGCCCTGGGCTTCCGCATCCTCGTGTGTGCAGTGCTGTACCTGCTGGTGCCTAGAGAGTCATCTGCCCTGGGCTTCTGCGTCCTGGTGTGTGCAGTGCTGTATCTGCTGGTGCCTGGAGAGTCATCTGCCCTGGGCTTCCGCGTCCTGGTGTGTGCAGTGCTATATCTGCTGGTGCCTGGAGAGTCATCTGCCCTGGGCTTCCGCGTCCTGGTGTGTGCAATGCTGTATCTGCGGGTGCCTGGAGAGTCATCTGCCCTGGGCTTCTGCATCCTGGTGTGTGCAGTGCTGTATCTGCTGGTGCCTGGAGTCATCTGCCCTGGGCTTCTGCGTCCTGGTGTGTGCAGTGCTGTACCTGCTGGTGCCTGGAGAGTCATCTGCCCTGGGCTTCCGTATCCTGGTGTGTGCAGTGCTGTATCTGCTGGTGCCTGGAGAGTCATCTGCCCTGGGCTTCCGCGTCCTGGTGTGTGCAATGCTGTATCTGCGGGTGCCTGGAGAGTCATCTGCCCTGGGCTTCTGCATCCTGGTGTGTGCAATGCTGTATCTGCTGGTGCCTGGAGTCATCTGCCCTGGGCTTCTGCATCCTCGTGTGTGCAGTGCTGTACCTGCTGGTGCCTGGAGTCATCTGCCCTGGGCTTCCGCATCCTCGTGTGTGCAGTGCTGTACCTGCTGGTGCCTGGAGAGTCATCTGCCCTG
The DNA here is from genome assembly GCF_000001405.40 of Homo sapiens. Classification (NCBI taxonomy): domain Eukaryota; kingdom Metazoa; phylum Chordata; class Mammalia; order Primates; family Hominidae; genus Homo; species Homo sapiens. The sequence continues at coordinate 325,768 of NC_000006.12, forward strand.
GGCTTCTGCGTTCTGGTGTGTGCAGTGCTGTATCTGCTGGTGCCTGGAGAGTCATCTGCCCTGGGCTTCCGCGTCCTGGTGTGTGCAATGCTGTATCTGCTGGTGTCTGGAGTCATCTTCCCTGGGCTTCTGCGTCCTGGTGTGTGCAGTGCTGTATCTGCTGGTGCCTGGAGAGTCATCTGCGCTGGGCTTCTGCGTCCTGGTGTGTGCAATGCTGTATCTGCTGGTGCCTGGAGAGTCATCTGCCCTGGGCTTCTGCGTTCTGGTGTGTGCAGTGCTGTATCTGCTGGTGCCTGGAGAGTCATCTGCCCTGGGCTTCCCCGTCCTGGTGTGTGCAATGCTGTATCTGCTGGTGCCTGGAGAGTCGTCTTCCCTCGGCTTCTGTGTCCTGGTGTGTGCAGTGCTGTATCTGCTGGTGCCTGGAGAGTCATCTGCCCTGGGCTTCTGCGTCCTGGTGTGTGCAATGCTGTATCTGCTGGTGCCTGGAGTCATCTTCCCTGGGCTTCTGCGTCCTGGTGTGTGCAGTGCTGTATCTGCTGGTGTCTGGAGAGTCATCTGCCCTGGGCTTCTGCGTTCTGGTGTGTGCAGTGCTGTATCTGCTGGTGCCTGGAGTCATCTGCCCTGGGCTTCCGCGTCCTGGTGTGTGCAGTGCTGTATCTGCTGGTGCCTGGAGTCATCTGCCCTGGGCTTCTGCGTCCTGGTGTCTGCAATGCTGTATCTGCGGGTGCCTGGAGAGTCATCTGCCCTGGGCTTCCGCGTCCTGGTGTGTGCAGTGCTGTATCTGCTGGTGCCTGGAGAGTCATCTGCCCTGGGCTTCTGCGTCCTGGTGTGTGCAGTGCTGTATCTGCTGGTAATTATGCAGATGGGATTGCCCTTGAGGGAGAGTCACTGGCAAATCCTGTCTACTACCATTTATTGAGCATCTACTGTGTTCTGGCACTGCACTTAGTATTTTTCACATGTCACATTGACTTTCCTTGTTTAAAGTCCTGTGTTCAAGGGAAATCCTTCTGTCCCTCTCTGCATCAGAGCAAAGGAGAATTGAGCACAGCTGCAGATTAAGAATGCTGCAATTCTAAGAAGGTGGTGTGCTGTATCAGATGTCATTTAAATGGAGAAGACAAATGGGATGTGCAAAACAAGCTGTCACCATCAGAATGACTTTGTGCAATGGGACTGTCTAGACCGAGGCTTGGCACGCTTTGGCTGTCAAGGCCCAGGGAATATTTGGGGCTTTGGGGACTTCTGCTGCAGCTACTGTAGCCTCCACCATGAGGTGAGGGGCCACAGACAATACGTGAATCAGTGGGCACAGCTGTGCCCCGTGAACATGGGCCCTAGTTCACCCACCCTGGGCTTCGCTGTTGGGCAGCAGGAGCATTACTGAGAGGAAACTAAGAGCTTCCAGGAGCCCAGCCAGGTCTGAATCTTGGGGCTGGGTAGCCCCCAGTTTAATGCAGCCCCAGAAATGCCCAGCATCTTTGCCTTGTCTTTGCCTGTCATGGTTTTCTGTGTGGGAGCGTGCACTCACCACGTCCAGCAGAGCCCCATTTACAGCTGGAGGAGAGTGAAGGTGGAGGCCGGCCCGCACTGGACGGTGACTCCAGGGCTACCTGCAGGTGCCGTGGCCAGCCTGGGAGCAGTGCTGTCAGGGCGCATTGGGTTGGTGGCCACATGTTTAAAATTCTGAAATGGCATGTCCCTCCTCATGCATTCCTTTCTTCATTTGGAACCGTTTACAGGAGAGAGGTGCCAGGAGACTGATAGATGATGACCACAGCCGTGGGAGTTCGAGGAATCTGGGGTCTAGTGAGAGAGACTGGCCCTTCACACGCAGTGCCAGTCCTCTGTGCCAGGGCCATGCGCCTGTGTGCTGCTGGTGGTGTGGGGGCCCAGCGTGGGGCTGAAGTCTGCTAAGGGGGAGGCCGAGGAGGTGAGGGAAGGCTCCACAGAGAGCCTGGTGGGTATGTCAGGGAGGTTTTACTGAGAAGAGCCACGCAGAAAGCCTATTCCAGAGAGAGAAAACCACAGGGACTTGGCAGGATGGCCGGGAGCAGGGAAGCACAGAACATGTGGGGAGACTAACAGCAGCCCAGGGTTGCTGGAGTTTGAGGAGCGAGGGGTGGTAGGAGGGAGAGATCATGGATGTGAGGTCAGGAAGGGGGTTGTGGACAGATGCTGAAGCACTGTGAAAATGGGTCTTCTCTACTTTGCAGACAGAGAGGAGCCACTGAATATTTTTCAGCAGCTGAGATGTGTGATCAGATAATGTTTGTAAGAGATAAATTTTTCCCTGGTGATACGTACAGAGAACACTCCTAGAATATCTGCTGCTGATTTCTAAGCAGCAGCTTTCACTCATGGCAGTTTTTTGAGATGGGTTGTTCAGGCTTCACCTTCATTAAGTAATACCACGGAATGCCTTGGTCCCAAGTGACTGCTGAAACTGGCCCAGTTTTCATGAGTCACAATTGTGTACATCAGCAAGTCCTGCAGCTGAACTGAAAGCACCCGGTAGGGCTTTCAGTGGTGAGACGGAGCTAGAGTGAATCTCCCTCACTGCCTTCCCATAACCCAGCCCGTACTGGCTGGAGGAAATCCAACATTCTGACCGTGCCCACTTTAGCCTTGCACTGAAATATCTTGAACAAAAATAAGCTTTTGAGTTCTCATCTGTTGATCTGACAAGTCAAATGCATGTCGGTTTTTGACTAACCTGAAAGAAGTCACAGGTGTTGGAGGTTTCTCATTTGCATGTTGTCTCACAGTATCAAACCAGAGGCTAAATCTTGTCTCTCCACTCTGACCTCCTGCTCCCTCCCCGCCCCATCAGTACCACAGAGTTCTTGGAAGTTATTATTTGTAGTACGGTTTCCTAAATTTAGCTGATGCAGGAAGAATCAGTGGCAAATGGGTGCTTTAAGAAAATACATCTTCAGTTTAGAACCTGGACTTAAAACATGAATAATGCAGCCTAACTAATGGAGCATATTTATCTGCCGTGGCGGCTTTCTGCAGTAATTTATTTGGGACTTTTGCTGTGATGCAAACAAAAAAGAGAGGAGAGGTCTTGTCTGCTGGACCTTGCCTATTTTTTGTGTTGACTTCCAGTACTTAGTCCATAGGCATACGTAAGTTTTTCCAGGTGTAATCTTCCTTGGGATGGGATTTCGAATTCTGCTTTTTCCCTTTAACCTTACATAATTTCTACAAATGTTATGGGCTATGTGAAAGTCATACCTGGAGGAGAAATAATCAAAATGCATGTGCCACGCACCGAGCTGGGCTGCCACACACGTAAATGAGCATTCTCTTATGCTTTCTGTGGAATAAAGACACCTTGCAAAGAGGAGACAGCTCATCAAACCTGCAGGGTGCCTCAAAAAGCAATTTCAGGTTCCTGATTGCCATCTCCTGGGTCTACGATCTTCAAGAGTGTGGCCAGACGGTTTTCACAGTTTGCTTGCTGTCAGGTTTATATGAAAGTGCAGCAGTCAGATTCATAGAGATAGAAAGGTGAAAGGTGGTTGTCAAGGGCTGCGAGGAATGAGGAGTTATTACTTAATAGGTGCAGAGTTTTACTTTAGGAGAATGAAAAAGTCCTGGAGACGGGTGAGGTGATGGCTGCACAACAGTGTGAATGTACTTAAGGCCACTGAACTGTACGCCTTAAATGGTTACGATGGTAAATCTTTGCTTTTTTTTGAGACAGAGTCTCGCTATATCCCAGACTGGAGTGCAGTGGTGTGATCTCGGCTCACTGCAACCTCCACCTCCTGGGTTCAAGCGATTCTCCTGCCTCAGCCTCCTGAGTAGCTGGGATTACAAGTGCATGCCACCACGCCTGGCTAATTTTTGTATTTTTTAGTAGAGACGGGGTTTTACCATGTTGGCCAGGCTGGTCTCGAACTCCTGACCTCGTGGCTCACCTGCCTTGCCCTCCCAAAGTGCTGGGATTGCAGGCATGAGCCACCATGCCCAGCCTACGATGATAAATCTTATGTGTATTTTACCACAAAATAGTATAGAGAGAGGCTGTCTCCAATGAGAGAGTCTTCTGCTGTGTGTGTTTCTCATCATAGTGTTACAAGCTGTGACCTTGCTTCTGATCAGGGGAGGAGTGGTTCAAATTTAAATTTGGCTTTTAATTCTTTTTTTTTTTTTCAGGGTCAGGCTTCTGGGAATGTGGTGAAAGTCGCTCTTGAGAGTTCGCTGGCTGGTTTCGCTCAGTTGTTAATTGTGGTGGAGGGTCAGTGTGAATACAGAGTGTGTGTACAGGGGCCACACAGGCCGGTGAAGCAGGGCACCCGGCACCTCCCTCATGGGACTCATTTTCAAATAACAGACACCATTGCTGGAGGAGGACCCCCCTGGGCTCACCATACCGTCACTGCTGCCGCACAGGCTGAGATGAGAAACCGGGGCTTCTAGTGGTGACATGTTTATTAGCAGCCAAAATGACGTTTCCATTGCGTGGTTTCCTGATCCTGGCCCTTAGGAACTTGCTCTCCCCCTCCTTGTGTTTTGAAGAGGCTCCTGCAGGGATCCAGTTCTGTCCTGTAACTGGTTTCTGTTGGCTTTGAGAGGAGAGAGACATGGCTTCTGAAGGGTTTATCTTCCTTGTGCAAAGCAGAATGTCAGCTGGGCTCTTGAGAAGACTCTCCTTCTTACAACGCCTCAGAAAGAAAAGAACAGTGAATGTTAGAAATCATGCTTGAAACAAGCGAGAGTTTGATCTCTTTCTTTACCAGTCGTGAAATCAGAACCTTGGCCCTGCTTTTCAGGGACCTGCCTCCGTATCGTTTTAAGTGTAATCTTTAGTTTCAGGCCCAAAGAAAGGTAAAAACCTTACTTTTGGTGGTTACTATACTTGTTGAAACAGAAAACTGAAAAGTATTTAGAACTTTTGAGAAGATGGACTCAGGCAGCTCTAAGCTCTGGTTTGAAGAGCCGCTGGAAAACCTTCTGAACTTTCTTCTCCTCCAAGTGACGTCTGTTGTTTCTTTCAAAACCTAAACACAAAACCTTCACTAGAAAGCTGTCCTTAGCAGATCCCCCATCTCTCCTGCCTCTTTGCAGCATCTTCCAAATTTTTACATCACGTGGTTTTATACCGGTTGTTCTATACTAATTGTTTTATACATGCTGCTTGGCGTTAGTAATATACGGTGTACACCTGGTCCCCTCAACACAGGTAGAGACTGTTCCTTACTTCTTCCCCCTTTTCCTCTCCTGGTACTCACTTCGTCATGTTACGCCACTTAAAATGCCATCATCGCTGCTCTTTCTTTGTCCTCATAGAAATCATGACGGTCTTGAAGCAAACACAGAGCCCATTTTTCTTAACTGAGCTTGTTTTTGTATTTCAGTGTACTCGAGATTGAAGCACCGTAACTTGACGTTTAATAGCCTCATAAAACTGTGATGTTAATTGGCTTTCCACCAATCCACTGTTTTGGAACATCGTGGAAAGTGCTGAATTCTTATTTATTTAGTGAGACTTTTATTGCTACAGGAAGACAACCCATTTTATCTTTACTTTTTCAAATATTAGAGGTAGTATGAGGGAGTGAATACCTTACAGCAAACACTGTACTAATGGAAACATTGCTGTTATCTTCATTACTTACAAATTTTTCAGATTGTTCTAGAATTTTTATTGCTTTTTTTTTAACCTCCAAGTTTGTTATACTTTCCATAATTTATCTAAACTTATCCTGTCCTTTATTTCTATTTCTGTAAACTTCAAAACCGGAGAGTGGTCCTGTCTTGAGGACCTATTTGGTGAAACCATCTATTCCACATCACATTAAAACATTTGCAGAACTTATTCATTAGTACTAGGATACTTTTAAGTGGGCCAGCTTTCTTGTGGCACTGGGGGACTCATGCTGCTTTCTGAATTAGTAATTAACTGTCATGAATTGTACACATGTGCAGGTATCTGAAGCTGTTCTAAGGTAACTCAAATTCTGTAGTCTGTGGCTTGGGAGAGACTTTTCATGCTTTGTTAATAACTAAACCAAGATAAATAGATGTTCTTAGGTGGCGAGCAGCTGAACCTTTTTGACAGTTTTGACTCCTTCCTTGACTGAGTTTGCATATTCTTATTGTGGATCACGCCGACTGGCTCTCAGCTGCGTCCTGTTGCAGTGGCCAGGAGGGACGCTGGTGTCCCTTGAGCATGTGTGGGTGGCTTGCTGTTTGCATGGTGTGGGCTGAAGCCCAGCTCTCGTTTCGTGGTCACTGGCACAAATGATGGTGCTTTACAGTATTTTTCTTTCCTTGCACTCATCTGGCAGTGTGATCTTTGTGTTCATTGTTCTCATCCTCTGTCTCATCACTCTGCAGACATTTCAGTGAGTGCCTGCTGTGTGCCGGGCACCCTTGCAGGGAAGCTTGTTATCATTGCTGTTGTCATTCTGTCTTCAACAGAATATAATCTTGACTCAGGTTTTCTATTTTTATCTGTCCTGCCTTAGCAGCAGGTGGTCCCCAAATTGTGGTTGGGAGCCATTTTGTTCCTCTTCAGAGGATTCACAGATGGGAGGCTGCAGCTCCACACGCCCACCCCAGCGACTGTGGGCAGGGGCCAGCATGGCCAAGAGCTGCCTCCTCATCCTGGTGGTTCCCAGATGGAGAGATAGCCTTTGCCGTCTTCCTGTGGGTAGATTCTCGTGCCCACCTGACAAGGTGCTCCTGCCTCATGGGACCAGCCTGAGTTGGTCCTTTTGCTCATCGGGTGCCACAAAGGGGAACACAACCACACATGGAGACTGCCCATAGGAAGCACAATACTGTCCAGTCCCACGGCTGGTATTTATAGCCAGCAAAGAGCTATTCAGCAGACCCTCTGTCCATTCTCTTCCTGTCCTTCTTTTTTTTTTTTTTTCTTTCCTCTTGATATATAGACTAGGCTGATTTTAGATTCTGCTGGAATAAAGTGGCTGTCAGTCAACATCTGGGGGACGCCGGCATTTCCATCTCGTCTTAAGCTTCCTTGCCAGATGGAAGTCGCTGACACTGAAGATGGCACTAGAAGGGAAGGTGGGAACTTGAGGCTCCTTCTGGTCTGTCTGGAGGTGCTGGTCTCCAAGGAGCGTGGAGGGAGAGTGTGGGAGGAAAGGATTTCACAAGCTTCTGGACTGATCGACTGCCAACTCTCACTTAAGAGTAAAAGGAAAGAAGTGAATGAGTCATTTCAATGGTGGCTGCAGGAGGTGATCAATGTATGTGCATCTATACCAACAAGCTTGTTTGGCCTCCACGAAGGAAAGGACTGAAATTACTTTTAACAATAATACTTCCTTTTCCGTTTGTTTTCCCTTGAAGTCCGAGCTGTAATACCACTCTAGGTTTGAAGATACTTTCAGTGTTCCCAGCAGAGCACAGCCCACAAGCCCAGGAGAAATGAGGACAGAGACAGGAGGAGGCAACTGGGGATAACAAAGTGAAGGCAAAGGAGGGAGAAGCTGCTGCCTCACTTTCCTCTTCCACCAGCAGATTCTAAATTAACCCTTGGCATGGTTGAAGCCCATTTGGTCTTAAGTGAGATGTTCCCATGTGGATAAACAGCAATAAAGTTCATCTCCTTCAAGACCCAAAAGGGCCTTTATTGGAAGGTGTAAAGATTGATTTAAAGCTGGAAACAAAATGTACAGAAACTGTGAGGGAGAAAACGTTTTTGATTCAAAGCATACAGAAACTGTGAGGGGAAAGATGTTTTTCTGACCCCTCATCATTGTGGATGAGGCAAGAGGGAATTCTCTCACTTAGGTGTTAGTTGCAGTGAACAGATCCTGCTCTGACTCAGTTTCAGCAGGAAACAGCTTTTACTAAGAGAGACTGAAAGCTCATGGTTCCCTCAGAATAGATGGAGAACAGGTTTTAGGCTGAAGTTCAGGAGTGATCCCCAGAAAACTGGCCCCAAGCTCAGCGCCCACTTTGCCCCGAGCCAGCCCACCCCTGCCCCACCTGCCCCGCAAAGAGCATGTGCTCTGCCCCCGCCCTGCGCCCACGAAGCCCACGTGTGCTTCCCGGATCCCACTCAGTAGCTGCCGATCCGACTCCTGAGGGCCAGGTGGGGAGTCCCTAATCGCGAGGGAGGTTGGGACATGAAGTGTGTCTGGTGCCTGTATTGGAAAAGTAGGACTCACAATGTCAGGGGCTATTAAAATGTGTAGGAGGTGTGGAAGGATTAGGGGCAGCTACACATTTAGTTGTCCCTATTGGCAAATACAGCACAGAAATTCCTAACAATAGGAGTTAATGGTAAAAGTTTAATTAAAAATGCAGAAATTATTTGTGACTAATTACTGAAGATGCGTTGCGTTGTAACTCCATCTTCTGAGAACCTGAGGTTGTCTGTGTCCCTCTTCTGCCTCTGTGCTTTTATTCTCCAAGGTTGGCTACTTCTCCAGTGTCTGATGTGTACCCCTAACATTGTCTGTGACACGGTGGCAAGATTCTGTGAGATTAGGCAATTAAGAGAGGAATAATTTAAAAATGATTCATCTAATTCTTCATCAGGCCATAATCTCTTACAAAGAGAATATCAGATTTTTATGTTTTGTGTTTCTACTTGACAGAGCTTTTGAAACATTCTTTCAGTCCCTCCGAAAGAGAAACAGCCATTTTTTTTTTTAAATAAATCTCACATTTAGCATGCCTGTTGTAGCATGGATTTACATAAACCTTTTTCTGAGTTTTATAGAGGAGTATATGAAGTTTATTTTTTTCAAATTTGGCCATTCTTTAAAAAAGAAAAAAGTATTTTTGTTTGATATATAAACCTTTATTGTCCTGAAAAGCAAGCAAAATAAAACAAATTATCCCCAGGGTAAAGCTCGTATTGGTGCGTCAGTGAAATTGTAGCTGTCATGGTACTAAAATTGATGTAGAAAGCTGTAATGTGACATTATAGTTTTCACTCTTGTTAAGGTTTTTACTTACGAACAGTGCTTCCTTTTTGAACATTCAGAATCCTAAATGAAATATATAAAAAATTTGGAATATATAAACTAACATCTGAGATGCTGGTTTTGAAAGTAGTTGAAACTTACTGAAAAGTACTCAACTATTTCACTTTTTTGATGTGCCCTTTGAATTTTGCCTAAACCTACAGGCTGTTTGCAAACCAAAGCAGGATTATTTGTACGCATGGTCACGGAAAATAACCAGGAACTTTAATTAGTTTTTCTGCAGTTCCTTGGCAACAAAAGATGAGTGAAAAACTTCTCCTTTTTATTTTTTTATTTTTTGACCTGTGTAAATAGTTCCTTAAATACTTTTCTCCACTGAGTTTCATGTTTTTATTTTTATGTATTTACTTTTTATTATTCTGCAGGGAGTTAAATACCTGTGCATCCCAGCAGCGGATTCACCATCTCAAAACCTGTAAGTTTCTTATTTCTGTATTATTTGGAGACATTTAAAAAAATGAATAGAGGATGGTAAAGTCAGAGAAGTAGAAGACTGTGAAGTTGTCAGAGCTCACGGGACCCTTGCTGACCCTGCCAGGGAAGAGGCTGTGAGCCTACAGAGGCCAACGCTAGGCAGGCTGGGATGAGCTGTGGCAGGAGGCTCCTTGTGGTTGACTGGTCCTTCCATTATGCAGAGAGACTCATGGGCTGTCCACAAGAAGGGTCTGATGTTTACAAAGGATACCTTAAACCTTTAGTATGCTCATCTTTCCTCTAGAAATAAAACCGTGAAGGATTTGTTGGGTTCTGTCTAAAGCAGCGCTGTCCAATAGAAATAGATAGTGAGCCACAAATGGGCAGTTTTAAATTTTCTAGGAGCCACATTTTAAACAGCAAACAGAAACAGACAACATTAATTCTAATAATATATTTTACTTAATCCAGTGTATCTAAAATATTATTTTGATATGTACTCAATATAAAAAATTAATGAGCAAGTTTATGTCCTTCTTTCATACGAAGTCTGGGGGCTCTGGCGTGCTGTTTCATACTTGGCACATCTCCGTTCAGACCAGCTGTGTTTCCAGGGCTTGAGAACCCCAGGAGGCTGGCGGCTGCCTTATGGGGCAGCATGCTGGCTAAAGCCTGGCGGAGTGGAATGAATAGGTCGTTGTGGCTTAGGAAAGTCCAGTCCTCTATTTCTTCATAGCAGAATAAACCTTTGATGTTATTTTAACTCTGCACCTATAGAGAGATTCATAATTGTTCCCTTTTCCATATTGAAGAAATCCCGTGGAGACAGATAGGATTAGGTTTTGGCAAGATAAGGGATAGGGCTCTGGGGACCCGTGGCAGCTACAGCTTTAGCAGTCCGTCTTGGCTGTATAGAAGGGACCTGGAAATATCATGATGTGGAGTAGATTACAGTTTTCCTGAAGCACACATCTGACTTGTGCAGGCTGAAAGGCTGGGGCTGGAAGTAAAGTACTTAGCATCCCATGCCACTGAGTCTGGCCTCTGATTCTCAGGTTGGCCCAGTGCTATATGCCACAGGTCAAAGACACAGCAACCCTCCTAGAACTGTGTGTTACTGCATGTCACAGGGAAGTTGTAGGCTGTGGTGAAGTTTGTGAATTTGGGAGTCCTCAGGCTCGTCTGGATTCCCCTTTTATGCCCCAAGCACTGGTGCACGCACACCCTATGGATCAGGAGTGCAGACCATGTGCCCCAATGTTCAGGACCCTAGGTGTGCCACCACTCTGGGAGTTATTGAACGCTGGCCATCAGCCGACCTTGAGCCTTCACTGGGGCAGAGCAGAGAAATCACAGGTTATGCGATAATTTTGTGAGATCTACCTTTTTGGGAAAAAAAATAGAGCTGGAGTAAGATGGGTTGACATGGGAAAAGTGAGGTGGTAGATCAGGAGGGGAACGGGAGGTGGGAAGCTGGAGCCACTGTGTGCTCCCCAGGGGCTGTGTTTCCACATGCACTCTTGATATTTCACAGAAAGGTGAACGTTTAAGATTGAGGATGGTGGAGGGGGGATTTTCCTAGGAAAACAGAGTAGCACTCTAGGCCTGGAAGGAGGAGAAGCAGCATTAGAGAACTTCCTTGGTTACTAGTCGTGTCAAGAAACAGAAGTGGTTGGAAGGCATGGTGCACACGGAAGGAAGTGAGCCACTGCCTTTCTCTGAAGACCATAGCAATCTTCTGCCCATGTTTTGGTGGCTATTTTTAGAATGGTTGCTTTGCTCTTATCTCAAACCGAGATTCTGACATGCTGTTGAACTTGTCAGTACCTGATTGGCAATTTGATTCTTTAGAAGAAAAACTCAGATGTGACCCACTCTGGGCTCTGGACATCTGCTGTCAGTGCAGGTGGCTACCTGTCCTTGAGCTGTCCCCAGTGCTTCTCAGCTTTGCTAGGAGCTGAGTGCTCTCTTGTCTGTGACAGTGACCTGATTTAAGCGTGGAGTGACCCCTTGCACTATAGACAAGTAAGTAGTAGGCGTAGATGTTAGAAAATCTCAACTGTAAAGCCAGTTACACCTACCTTGGGCAGGTCATTTTAACCCATCTACACCTCCATTCTCCCATCTGAAAATGCCTGCCCTCAGGGTTTTTGGAGGCAAGGGCATGTATGTGAAGGTGTTTTCTGCGAACTCTGAGCACTTGTAAAACTGAGTCTGTTTTCACTCAGCGTATATTAATGTATCTTGAGAGTTACAGAAAAGGTAGTTGCAATAACAAGTTTTGGTGCCCAGGAAGCCTGCTTCAGTTACTTGAGAGACCTGCTGACATGGAGGGACAGGGGAGACAGAGATATGCCAGCTTCTTCTCTGAGTTCTAGGTCTCGTGGGTCAGTTCAGATCATCTGTCAAAACCAGCCTAATTCCAGTCACCTTTGGTGCTGAAGGACTAGCCCATACTTTTTCTTTTTAAAATACGTATAGATTTAGGGGTTGCAGGTGCAATTTTGTTACATGGATATAAGGCTTAATGGCAAAGTCTGGACTTTTAGCGCATCCGTCACCCGAATAGTGAACGTTTTACTCTTTAAGCAATTTTTCACCCCTCACCTCCTCCTACCCTTTTAATTAGTTCTCTCCTATCCCAAATATGTGAAGAGGTCCTGTTAAGTTTATGGTTTGCTTTTGTAACTCTTTCTTTGGCTGGATGACTGGCTCTTGGCCTTTGATGTATCTGGATGACAAAGAGTTACAAAGGCAAACTAGAAACGTGGGTGGGCTTAGGGGTTAGGTAGGTGTGGCAGTGCCGTGTCTGGGGCTTGTGAGTGGAGGATGCGCCGTGCTGCACTCTCCAGTGAAGCTACGACAGTAAGACTTCTGTTTCAGCTGAAAAAGGAAGTCAGGACCGTAGCTCATGAAAAGGTGGGGAAAAGTGGACACTCTGCTGTTGGGAGTCATGCTCTTGTGTGATTTTTGGGGGAAACGTTTATTTTTAACCCATTAGTAACAGCAAATCTTGTGAATAAGTAAGGCTTCGACACACATATGTCCATGACTGTAAATATTGCTTGCTGTACTAAAGTTATGTGGAAATGGTGGAGCTGACTTCGGAACTTTGAGTGACTCAGCTTGTTAAGAGGCAGGCGATGAAATAGCTTGAGTTTCTTTTTACCTGTTACAAGTGTTCTACTGGAAGGCATAGTGTACTTTTTAATGGTGAGCATATTTTCACCATGTAATCAAATGATTCCCCTCAAGTTGGCAGGCAGAACACCTACCTCTCTCGGGGTATTTATTAAGGTGTTTATTACCAAGTATCAGGTGCTGACAATCAACTTTTGCTTTCTGTATCATCAACCAATGAGGATGGTCAGACGACAAATATTCGTATTTCTCTAGTTAACAAAAGCAAAAGAAGTCTTACCTGTCACTTGGAAACTGTGTTCTGCAGGACCTAAACAATTTGAAATAGTAGCTCTTTAGCCACTTAAAAAATTCTCGGTGCTTCAGAGTTTCTCTATTCAATGATAAAATAAATTCTGGAAAACTATGTTGCTCATTGTTTTAAACTTAAGTACAGATTTTAAAAATGAATGCCAGCTTTGATGTAATTTAACACTCTATATCTTAAATTTTTCCCCACAAATCCCTGCACGAACAGGAATTCTGGCAAGTTATGCTTAGTAAGAGATGTGTGACCTTTGAGACTAGCTGTTGTCACTTGACATTCAGTTGCTGCAGACTGCCCGGAAAGGTCAGTTTTCTGTCTTGGCCTCTATCCTCTCAAATCTCCCTCTCTGATCTTCCAGGAACTTAAAATGCAGAAACCTAGTTTGAGATAACATTAACATGTTAGAATTTCAGCTCAGTTCCCCAACCAGCTAGCCTTGCCAAGTCAGGAAATGTAAAAGTTCAAGTTCTCAGAGTTGTAATAACCCCACAGACCTACTGTGGTGTGTTTTGCATGATTTTGTCATGATTAGAGGCGTCCTAGAGTTTGTATCAAATGCACACACTGCGTGTTCCCCAAGTGGCCAGCGTGGTATGGGTTAGTGAATTAAGGGCTTTGGAAATACTCACTTGCTTTTGCTTTCTCTCTGGGATTTCTTAGAAAAGTCATTTTAACCTCTCTTCTCTCATCTGTAAAATGCCTATCTCACAGGGTTTTTTATAGTATTAGGTGAGATGATATAAGTGAAAGTGTTTTTTATGAACACTAGGCATTTCTGGAAATATGATTATATTTTCTGTCTATTCAAGTAAAGAGTATTAATATGTTTTGAAAGTGAATGGTTAGATGCATATTAACTTATATTTACTCATCTTGCTTTAATATATATTACATTGGCATTTTGTACTTTGACATCATGAAGCAAGTAATTACAGATTTTTTTTTTCTTTTTCTGTGAAGTCCAAGGGCATTTGATCTCTGCCAGGCTATGGAGTCGGTATACATCATTGCAGTAGCGCCTTTGTGACATTCAGTGGTTTTAGAATCTAGCAGGTCTGTAAATTTCTTGAGGTTTTTGTGGGGAGAAGAAGCTTTAGCAATACAGAGAGCCTATATTGAAAACATCGGTAAAACGTCCTTGCCTTATTCTATCTCCCTATCTTTTTGTCTATATTTTCTTTAACTGACACCTTCTGTACTTTCAACTCTCTTTTTCTCTCATTTACGTTTTTCTTTTATTTTATTATAAAGGAGCACTTTTGCAAGATGAGAGCTAGTTGGGCCCTTGGACTACTGTGGTCCTGCTTCCAGACAGTTCCTGAGGGCTCTGCCAGCCCATAGTGATGTTCTCCTGCTCAAGGAGAAAATGAGAGCTGAAAGTGGCATTCAGTTTTCCATAAGACTTCATTTATTCCACTTAAAAGAACTATCGTTTAGTCTTAGATTATGTCCTTCTTTTTGTTGTTGAAATATTCTTCTGGGAAATGATGTTGTAGTAAGTGGTAGAGAGGCCCTTTGTTTTAGTTTGCTTTTAAAAAGCCCTTATCTGGCCAAATGAAAAGTACAATATATGCATCCCCCAATTCTATTTTTAATGTTGACAGTGCGTGAAATATCAAAGTTGGGGAATCACTGATACAAACGTGGGCTGGTTTTGTGTGTAATGCTGTGTGCTGATAGGGCAGCTCCACCATGTCTGTCTGATGAGGAACATTCTTCCCACTTACCTCTGGGTGGACTGGGGGCTTCACCATCAGCCTTCCAGCTGGAAAGCGTGCTGGGGCAGGGCCTGTGGGTTGGGGGCCGTGGACAGATTTCTGCCCGAAGAGGAAGCAGCTCTCTGTTATGAAACCACCTTCCAGAGCCTGGACCCAGATAGAATACTCTACTCATTTGCTATTAGAAAACAAGCAAAAACTTTTTTTTCTAAGCAAAAACATACATATTTACATATGTAATGTATAAAAATATAGATTTCTTATATATAAGGATGCTTGCCTTTTTTGGATTTGTCCTTTGCTTTCATTTGCACATACACTTTTGTATCATTTGCAGGAAGGAGGAGCACCCTGTGTCCCTGTGGCCTTGCTGCTGTTATAGCGTGGTCTGGTACCATGGGCTTTTAGGGTAGGGCCAGCTGCCATTCAAGGTGCTCAGCCAGATCTCTGGGCTCCCACTCCAACAGGCAAAGTCCTTTTGAGCAGGACAGGACCATCTTAGATCCTACAGTGGGGATTGAGGCCTCCAAATCTTGCAGTCCTGGAGTGAGAAGTAGTTGTTCAGCCTCAAAAGTGAACACCATGTAGTGTGATGTACAAGCTCATCCACCATCTTTTCTTAGACTCTCTGAAGGTCGGTAGAGCCCATCTGGGCACTGGCTCTTGGCCTTTGATGCAGAAAGGAAGGGACCCAGGCAGAGGGTGCTGGTCTGTGACGAGGGAGGGAGACAGCTGCGGGTGACTGGGCAGTTTGCGAGTCCCCTCTCCCTGGAGGTGCCCCTGCTGCAAGGACCGCGGGCAGGAGCGGGCATGATAGCCCCGGGCGCTGTTTGGTGAGTTTCTAACGCAAGCGTGGTCCGGTCCGTGCTTCCTTGTGCAGCATTCGCTGGCTCTCTGTGGACTGAGCCTATTCCACACGGCTGTGCGTGGACGTAAAGGTGAACTGCCGATGAAACGGAGAGCAGGAACAGGGAACTTGTGTTCATCGAAACAGCTTGCGGTAGGATAGTGCTTCAGACTCGCACTTCTGCTTCTAACTGCAGTTGAGCAATAGAAGGACCAGGACTGTGGGTATTTCCCACTGTGGAGGAGGGAGTTTAATGACCAGAGTTGGGGCTTCTGTCATCAGCTTCCCTGGAAATAACACCCCCACACACAGTCCTGCACCAAAGTGGCAGTGCGCTCGCCTGCCTCTGGGCTTTTCTTGGAAAAGGCATTTCTAGGAATATCTCTCTGGCTTGGCCTTGTGCCGAATTGTGTCCATGAGTCAAGCTGCACTGTGGGGCTCTGAGCGGCCGCCTTGTTGGCATCCTTCCGGCTCCTGGGGTGGCGCCGCGAATGGCCCTATCATGATGCCTGCACAAGGGCTACGCAGCCCAGGCCCCCAACATGGTGGTGGATAGGAGCTATGTCCTGTGGGCTCTACTGGACTTAACTCTTACTACAGACGGAAAGAGCTACCGGGGGGTGGTGGTGCAGAGTGGGGTCACCTCTCCATAACCTCCTCAGCTCCTTCACACGCCCACTCGGCTCTCTGGGCACGGATGGGTTTGGATGGTGCCAGGCTGAGCACACTCCCCTCTTGTATTTTGAGATGTGGCAAGGCTGACTCTTGAACCCAGGTTCAACCCCACAATATGTAAGAAGCCCGGTTTCATTGTGTCTGTGGTTGGGGACGTGCAGATGTCAAAGTGAGATATAAGAAGTGGTCCCCACTCCAAGGTTTCAGTGAAGGGATTCAGTTGTCATCTTTACAAGACCTTGGTGAGGTTCGTACAACTGAATGTGACCCCAATCCTGTCCCCACTCAGATGGGCAGCTGCTAACTTTCATGTTGCTGTGTGGTCTTTGCAGTGTGTTCTGACGTGCTCTGTGGTTTTTCATTTACTCAGGCGGTCGTCATTCATTTCTAGATTTGCTTTTGCTTTTTTGGCTGCTCTGCGTACAGACACGGCTCTTTCTGACCAGAAAGAGACCCACACAGAACAGACCAGCGTGGGCACAGCAGTCAGGGACAGCGTCTTGGCACCCTTGGGGGGCCACAGCAGCGTGAGCAGCCTGGGGGACCAAGGAGGGTGCCGTCCAGCTGCACCCCTGCAGCCAGCCAGTCAGCTGCCCCAGCCTGTGCACTGGCCTGTCTACTGCAGCCTGCAAGGAGGGCAGGCACCCAGTGTAAACCACCAGGCAAGTTGCAGACCAGCAGTCTGGAGCCACTTCTGGGCCAGATGAGTTGGCTCAAGGTTTCAAACATTTTTGAACTAGTTGCTGATATCAGGTAGCATGAATTTGGCCATGAGTGGCAGAATACCGTGTTTGACTGACACATGGCATTCTAAGGGAGAGAGACACTTGGCAGCAGGTGGTGCAGCTCTGAGCATGGCACTCGCTCCCAGCTCCATGGCCGGAGGTCAGGGGCAGAGATAGATCACTTTCCTCTCTTCGGGAAGGGAAAGGTTTTCCAGAAGTCCCTACCCACAGCCTTTCCATTGCTTCAACATGGACAGAGCTGCAGGAAGACAGGATGTCCTTCCCAAACAAAATCAGTGCGGCTGACATGTCTTGTCCGGTTCCATTATCTCCAGGCCAGCAGACTTCTCTGCCAACCGCAGACGGCTAGTTGTGCTGAAGGTGTGGGGAGCTCCCAGCTGGCTACCCAGCTCTTTGCTGGGGGCCAGGCTCCTGCCCAACAAGGCTCCCTTCGTGCCCCACTCTGCTGTATACTTGGCTTTGCGGCCTGGCTGTAATGGGTGTCTGCTCTGGAGTGTCCTTCGGCACTGATACCTTAGATTTCGGGATTACAGCAGGAATCCTTTCTTGCCTGCTGTGTACCAAGCCACCTTATTACATCTGGGTGCAGGTATTCTGCTACTCATGGCCAAATTCATGCTACCTGATATCAGCAACTAGTTCAACAATGTTTAAAACCTTGAGCCAACTCATCTGGCCCAGAAGTGGCTCCAGACTGCTGGTCTGCAACTTGCCTGGTGGTTTACACCGGGTGCCTGCCCTCCTTGCAGGCCACAGTAGACAGGCCAGTGCACAGGCTGGGGCAGCTGACTGGCTGGCTGCAGGGGTGCAGCTGGACGGCACCCTCCTTGGTCTCCCAGTCTGCTCACGCTGCTGTGGCCCCCCAAGGGTGCCAAGACGCTGTCCCTGCCTGCAGTGCCCACTCTGGTCTGTTCTTATTTACATCTGGGGGCAGTTATCCCTGGGAAAGTTAACAAAAGCAGATGTGCTAGTTAGAGATGTCAGGTCAGAGTCCGGAGTCCTTGATTTGGTCCCCTAGGGATTTGTGCTTGTGGTGACCCTTGCAGTTGTTGCAGAACATGTGTGTGCATGTTTGCGTGTGCATGTTTGCGTGTGCATGTTTGCATGTGGATGCATGCACATGGACAGTTGCTGCTGTTCCCTGGCTGTCCTCATCTCACTGAGCACCTGCCGTGAGGTCGCTGAGTTTCTTCTGCAGTCAGTACCTGGGTGAGTTTGTTAGGCCGTGCCTGAATTTCTCATTCTTATTACATTCATGTGCCCTGGCATTCTGAATGTCTTACAGTTTATCAGAGTCCCTGGCAAATTGTCAGTACTCAGTCAGTGTTTAAAGAGAAGTCAGTTTAGTCCATGGGCAACTTTTGCTGTTTTATAAGCCATTCAAAGGTAGAAGACGTTGGAGAGGTACATGTGCTATCCATCCCGAGGTGTCAGCACTTAACCCACAAACCAGTCCAGAATGAGGTCTGAGTGGCAGGGGACACACATGCTGGTTGGGAGCGCACCACAGTGGGGCTCGAGTCCTGCCTGGCTTTGTGCCTCAGGGACTTGGCACAAGGCCGTGCAACCAGGCACTCCCTGAACGGTTAGGGGGCTGAATGAGTGACAAGAGAAAAGGGCAGTCTGAAAAACTAAAGAGTTAGAAGAAGAAAGGATTAAGGCACGCGTCATCATTTAGAACTTAGTTCTATTATTTGTTTATTTATTGAGACAGGGTCTCGCTGTGTCGCTCAGGCTGGAGTGCGGTGGCATGATCTCGGCTCACTGCAGCCTTAACCTCCTGGGCTCAAGAGATCCTCCCACCTCGGCCTCCCAAGTACCCGGGACTACAGGCATGCACCACCACACCCAGCTAATTTTTTTTTGGTATTTTCTGTAGAGATGAGTTTCGACATTTTGCCCCGGCTGGTCTCAAATTCCTGAGCTCAAGTGGTCTGCCCACCTCAGCCTCTTCAAGTGCTAGGATGATAGGTGTGTGCCACCGCGTTCAGTCCATTTAGGACTTCAGAGTTTGCAGAGCATATTGGCATGTATTACCTCATCTGCCCTGTGAGATACCAGCCCCACTTTATAAATGAGAAGATAAATGGCTTGTCCTGGGCCACACGGTCCAGTAAATGGCAAAGAGGGATTGGAGCCAGAATTTCCATTTCCCCACAGCTCTCCACTGAGCTGCAGACAGGACTGCCAAAGTCCCGGGAGACCAGTTTGAGAGAATGCTTTTAGATTTTCCAGATTGCCAGGAGTAAATCAGCTTTTAGGACTTGGAAAGCCCACACGACGTGGTCACCTTCCTCACCTGCGTCACGGTGGCCTGCACCATCCACAGCTGGTGTGAGGGTTCCTGCTGTGCTGCTGGGGCATTGAGGGGCTCCGATTGAACATGGGGGGCGCCGTCCAGAACTTCCCTCAACCCCAGTCTGTGGTAACTATGTGTTTCAGGGATTTCTTACAGAGAAATTCCAAAACTTCCAGACAACCCACAGCCTTCCCTAGACCTCAGCATTGTAAATAATGGATTCTGAGGCTGAGACAGCTCCAGCCACAGACAGTATGACCAGGTTTTGATGGTATGGGACTAGGAGAGCTTTCAGTAAACCACAGGAAGAATAAATTCTGGTTTCTTTCTTTTTTTTTTTTTTTTCCTCTGTTGCCCAGGCTGGAGTGCAGTCGTGTGATCTTGGCTCACTGTAATCTCTGCCTCCTGGGTTCAAGAAATTCTCCTACCTCAGCCTCCCTGGTAGCTGGGATTACAGGTGTGTGCCACCACACCCAGCTAATTTTTGTATTTTTAGTAGAGACAGGGTTTCACCATGTTGGCCAGGCTGGTCTCGAGCTCCTGACCTCAAGTGATCCGCCTGCCTCAGCCTCCCAAATTGCTGGGATTACAGGCGTGAGCCACCGCACCCAGCCATGTTCTGGTTTCCATTACCTGGTGGATTATTTGATTATAGCAAATAATAATGTAGTATATGTTTCAAGATAGCTACAAGAGAAGCTTTTGAATGTTATCACTACAAAGTGATAAATGTTTAAAGTGATTAAGCATTTATCAGGTAATTATCCTGATTTGATTATTATACAATGTATACATGCATTGAAGTGTCACACTGTAGCCCATAAATATGTAGAATTATGTGTCAATTATACAAAAAAATCAATTAACATTTTAAGAAAGAAGCCTCAGGTAGAATTTTCTTTTCATCATATATTGAGTAAAGTAGAGAGATGTCATTTCTCTTTTTTTCTTTTCCCAGGACAAGACATTTCAAAGAAAGTATTAAATTCATTCACGAGTGCCGGCTCCGCGGTGAGAGCTGCCTTGTACACTGG
Organism: Homo sapiens; assembly: GCF_000001405.40. Taxonomy (NCBI): domain Eukaryota; kingdom Metazoa; phylum Chordata; class Mammalia; order Primates; family Hominidae; genus Homo; species Homo sapiens. The sequence goes on from NC_000006.12 coordinate 345,930, forward strand.
TACGTGTGTCTCTTGCTTAATAGCGCCTTAGCGTATTCTGGTCGGCTTGGCTTCCCATCAAGTGTTTTTCCGTGTGTGAATAATGGTTTCACCTCCTAATAGTTTTCTGTAAACCCTGACTCTCAAACGCGTGCTCCATTTGTCCAGCGCTGTGTGTTAGTCGCCCTTTCCTTCTGTTGAAGGAGAACCCTAACTCGTTTTGCTTTTGTTTTTTTCCCATTTCCACTGCTAGGATTTCTGTAGGGACCGTGAAGGTTACTGGACAACAGAAACTTCCCTTTGCTGGCTTGCCTCCAGCATTTCATCAGAACAGCCTCTTACAGATGACCCAGATTCTGTAGGCTCATCCTTGAAACCTCAGTGGCTTTTTGAAGACACTGTTGTTTTTTCTTCAGGAGACTTGATTGCAAATGTGGATTTTCAGTATCGCGCTACTGTGACACCAGAATGACCCAGTTTAGTGACGGCTGTCTGTTTGCATCCTGCTATATTTTGTGTAGACACACACACACACACACACACACACACAGTGAAAAGAAAGCTACTGTATCACGCTTAACCCGAGGATGATGCATCTGAAGCGCTTGGCAGTGTGCCTGGCACATAGAGAGTTCTTAGTGAAAGTGGGATGGCATTTTTATGACCACTCGTAATCATGCTAATAACATGGCTAATTTGTTCAGGGAACCAGTAGCCAAAATTCAGGAGCCAAGGCTCTGTTGTCTAAGTGCTAGGCCGGACATGTCCCCTCTCTGTCTTGAATGAAGTGTGTTATTAATTAACTGGAAGCCTAACAGTCTTTTGACATTCCCCGAAACAGTTCCTCTTGCACTGTAAGCTCTTTAGGACTGTGAAGTGATAACTCCTGGGGAATATTGCTGCTGAGGTTGGTGGCAGCCCTGCCAGGACAGAGGGGACCCAGGGACCCAGTGCATGACATCCAGAGAAGCCACCTATGAAAACTATAATGTGTTCTGAGGGCCGATAGGGACGACAGGGAGGACGCTAGATAGTTGAGTTGTTTTTAGAATGGTGTCTGCAGTTTCATACAGTTCTTGAAATCACATGATTTTTCATCTCACTTTTTTAAAGAGTAGAAAGTGTAATAAATACAAATGGTAGGATTTTAACGTTCATTTCTGTTTGGCTTTAACATACCTTGGGGGTTCAATTGGAGCCAATTAAAGCGGAATTCTGGAACTCCCACTCCTGGGCTTCTCCTGGCTCCTAGTGAAGGTGAATCTCCAGGGTTGCAGCCCCAGAGGATCTGTCTTTTAAGATCTCTCCTGGTAGTTCTAATCTAAAGCCCTAGTGAAGAGCCACTACTTGAGAGTGGGGTTTTAAAATTATTGTTTATATTTGAATATGTGTAGGCCTGATATTCTAGGAATTAATACTTCATACAGTTCTGTGCACCTAAAGATAGGCTTTTCTAAAAGTGAGACATTTGCTGAACTTCCCCATCTTAACCTGTTGCTAGAACTCTCTAAGTCTGATGAAGCACAGCCATTCTGTGACCGCCTTCATTTGCATGTACATGTAAAACGGGTCTCACTCAGCCTGCTCCAGGTAACTGACCCTAACCGTTACTGCCTGCAAGGGTGCCTTGCTCCCACCCTGCGGACACAGTGTGCCTGCTCTGTACTCTGCATATTTATGTCAGGAAGAGTACAAAAGTAAGATTGGGTAAGGGCTTCTCTACATCATGGGCTTTAAAAATTATAGATCTAGCCCTCATATAGCTGAGAAAACTCGACTTTTAAGGAACATGAAGCATTCTAAACAAATGTAGGTTATAAATGGGTTTGTCGCGTAGGCCCTGGAAGCCTCGTTTCCTTGGAGTACCTCAGTTATGTCGTTTGTCCGGGGAAATGGGAAAGACCTGAGGAGGGGCTGAGGAGCAAGGGAGCATCTGGAGCCACAGCCCATAGAAAACCAATAAAAGAAGCTCAAACAGCAGAAGAAAGCATGCGATTCTAGTGCCAGGAAGCATAGGGAGCTGGTACGTTGAGTGCTGAGTGGCTTCCTGGTGGCGAGCTTGCTGTCCACATATAATCCAAGGCAGGAAGACTTTCTGAACAAGGTCCTTAGAGTCCCCCGCTCCACATGGATTGGGCGATGAACCCGGAGATCTGAAACTGCCCTCACACATGTGCTTCTCTTGGCCCCGCAGCCTGGCCGGGGTCTCCAGGAGCGTGACACTGGTGATCGCATACATCATGACCGTCACTGACTTTGGCTGGGAGGATGCCCTGCACACCGTGCGTGCTGGGAGATCCTGTGCCAACCCCAACGTGGGCTTCCAGAGACAGCTCCAGGAGTTTGAGAAGCATGAGGTCCATCAGGTAAGCAGTTCTTAGGGGACATCAGAGATGCAGGCAGGTGCCCCTGAACGGTGCCCACAGTCTTTCCGTACACAGCCAGCATCATGGCGTTTGGAGTTGAAAGGCCCACAGAGGACATCGGCTCCCAGGGCGCCCAGCTGCACCCCTTCAGAAGTCGTCACGATCCCTCGTGCACCTGTTGAAGCCACAGGCGCCTACCCTTTGTCATTCTCCTTGTGCCTGGTACTCCCTACTAGTTTGTTTCTCTCCCTTTGGGTGACGTACCATTTCCTTGGTCTGGCCTATTTTCATGTCCTAGGCCAGCACCTTGAAGGAGCAGTTCCTTCTCTTGCTTGACCCTGGCTGGCCAACCACAGAGCTCTGATTTCCCACTGCTGTTTGTTTCCCTGGTTATGTGTGGCACCATCTCTGTGGTGAAGTCACAGGTGCAAGCCCACGTGGATGCAGACGTGCACATGTGTGTGACGTTTCGGGTTTGTTTCCATCCTCTCCAGTATCGGCAGTGGCTGAAGGAAGAATATGGAGAGAGCCCTTTGCAGGATGCAGAAGAAGCCAAAAACATTCTGGGTAAATATAAGGAGCAAGGGCGCACAGAGCCCCAGCCCGGCGCCAGGCGGTGGAGCAGTTTTCCGGCACTGGCTCCGCTGACCTACGATAATTATACGACGGAGACCTAACGCAAGCGACCTGCTGCCTTCCTTCCCACTGCTTGTCTTCAGTGTGCCCGGCTGGGCAGGGGTGCGGTGGTGGTGGCCGATGAGGACAGGAAAGGGAGATAGCCAGGGCGAGGTGGGGCGAGGGCTCCTTCCCCCAAGCAACACCGCCCAGCCCTGCTCCAGGCCCCTGCACTCCGCCCACCCCTACCCTGGCTGCACCTGAGCTTGCTGCCCCTGGGGATGTTGCCCAGTGGCTGTGCACTGCTCTGTGCACGTGCGTGTGTGTGAGTGCACTTGTGTGTGGGTGACTAAGTGGATGCATGTGTGTGCCTGTGTGAGTGAGGGTATGTGCACCTAAGTGTGTACATGTGTGTATGTTGTGAAAGTGTCTGTGCACATGAATGTTTGTGTGTGTGTGAACTCTTTCTTACTGCTGGAAGTCACAGAATTCATATTGCTGCCCGGGTTGGTGTGGCCACCTTTCCCTTTGTCCAAGACTCCACATGGAAGGCATTTGAGCTCGACCTCCGAAAAGCTACCCAGCAAAGAGCAGTCTGTGCCTCTGAGCAGACCGTGAGAACTCAGGGGACGAGTGGCTAAGAGCATGGCCTCTCCCAGAACCCACCCAGGGTGGTGTGGTGGGGGCAACAGGGGCCAGACTCCTCTAGAGGGAGGGTGGCTCTGGGGCCCTGGAAAACGTGAGAGACTGCCCTGAGCTGGTCCAGTGGGCCAGCACTTTATACCAACTCAGCATTTAAGGGAAGTATCTTAGATTGCCTCCATCTCAATGTGAATGCACCAGGCTGAGGGTTCCCTAGCGCCTTGAGTCAAGGCCACTTTTCAGCCCATCGAGCCCTGAGTTCTACTTGGTGTTTGTTCTCTGGAGCTGATTGCACTTGAGCTCTGTGGTGGGCAGGCGCACTTTAGCCTAAGTTGGGTGCCCCAGGGCACCCCCTCCTCTCTGCTCCTTGCCAGCTTCATTCACTCCCAGCCTCTCGCTGTCCTCACTTTGCAGGGGCTCCTCCTCAACATTTGCATGCACCTGCAAGAATTGGGAAGAAAGAGCATTTATTAGGCACTGTAGCAATTTGCATTTTAAAATGCCTGAGCATTTATTAAGCTTCTTGGTATTCACTTGGGTTTGATAATTGATCTGAGCTACCTCATTGAATGTTTTTGGAAAGGTGTTTTTTGGTATGCAAGTCAGCTTTGCCTCACAGTTGAAAATGTTCGGTCATGATTGCTTTTGAAACCAAAGGGGAAGGTACCGATATCATTGAGCTATTTAAAGTTGCCAGTTTGGGCTCCAGTAATGCTTTCTGGTGGGTAAAATTCCACATTCAGGCCACGAGAGCATCTACAGTTTGTACTCTGGGGCTGCAGGCATCCTGGGACGCTGTACGCAATTCAGTGGTCTAGTCCTTTATACCGACTCAGATTCCTTAAGCATGCAGAGTCACTCGAATGAAAAAACATACTCGACCTCTCCCTAAAAAGATGTTGCAACCCAGTTTCTCTGAATTCCACCACAAAAAGAGACCCTGAATAAGAAGAGCAGTTTTCCTGTGCATATAGAGGGTGTGTCAAAGGTGAGCTTTTTGGGGACCGGGAAAAACAAAGTTGCCTGATTCCGCGCAGGTGCACAGGCCCCGGATGTACACCCGGAAAGGGGAGTGTGGCTGTAGAATCATCCATCCGTCTACAGCTAAAACAATTTGCCAATAAAGTACATGTTTTTCCTAAGCCAAAAATAAATACGTTAACAGAAAAATGATTTAGGATATAGCTTGAATGCTTAAATATGTGCACCTTTACAAACCTCTCAGTGTATTCTTGGAGTTCTTGAAATGTTGTTTTAATATTTGTTGCCAGTAATGTTCTTTCTTCACAGCCGCTCCGGGAATTCTGAAGTTCTGGGCCTTTCTCAGAAGACTGTAATGTACCTGAAGTTTCTGAAATATTGCAAACCCACAGAGTTTAGGCTGGTGCTGCCAAAAAGAAAAGCAACATAGAGTTTAAGTATCCAGTAGTGATTTGTAAACTTGTTTTTCATTTGAAGCTGAATATATACGTAGTCATGTTTATGTTGAGAACTAAGGATATTCTTTAGCAAGAGAAAATATTTTCCCCTTATCCCCACTGCTGTGGAGGTTTCTGTACCTCGCTTGGATGCCTGTAAGGATCCCGGGAGCCTTGCCGCACTGCCTTGTGGGTGGCTTGGCGCTCGTGATTGCTTCCTGTGAACGCCTCCCAAGGACGAGCCCAGTGTAGTTGTGTGGCGTGAACTCTGCCCGTGTGTTCTCAAATTCCCCAGCTTGGGAAATAGCCCTTGGTGTGGGTTTTATCTCTGGTTTGTGTTCTCCGTGGTGGAATTGACCGAAAGCTCTATGTTTTCGTTAATAAAGGGCAACTTAGCCAAGTTTAAGGTCGCGTGCGATGCATTCTTCCCTAGCCAAGGGGCAGTCACCACGCGCCCTTCTGCCTGTGAGGGATTCCAAGGCAAGACTGAAGCCTACTCCTGGTTTTATTTTAGAGGCTATTGTTTGCCTCCAGAAGGCGCTATAGCAGATGCTACAAAAGGTGAATTCATGTCTCCAAGAAAGAAAAATAGGCCATGAGTGTGAGGCGAAGGAAATGTGGACATGAGAGTTAGTTCTGTTTTGCCTGCACGGTGGGAGCGGCGTATTCGGCACCTGGAACGAGTTGTGTTTGCCCAGGAGCATGCAGCCAGCCGCGCCGTGTGCATCTGCCGCACAGCATTGAACACAGCTACTCTCATTCCATCTTCAGCTTTTAATCTGAGGGAACGTCACCTGAATTGACGAGAAATTTAAGTCAATTTGTAAAATTTTCCTTCTCTGATCTGGTGGAGGAAAAGGGAAATTTAACGCTGCTAGGGTAAGTTTGGGTTGATCTAAAGGCAAGTGAACTCATGAGCTGGTTGACTGTAGGTGGCAGACTTTATGTAGATTCTGATGCCTTGAAGCTCCCGGCAGCAGCTCAGGGGAGTGGCTGGGGGCCACAGGAGAGGCATAGGGAGGTAAGGCACCTTGCCAGGTCCCCAGAGGTCTGACTCCTGAGCTTCTAGCCTCTGCAGCAGTCCGATGAGCGTGAGGGGACACTCTGAATGCCTGGTATGGCACAGGTGGCTCTGTCCTCGGTGCCTCTGAGTGTTTTCATGGGCCAGACCAGCAAGCCCTGGTTGTGTCTCCTGTGGGGCCCACTCAGGAGGCAGCAGCCAGGCCCCAGCACAGCCCAGGAAGACTTGTGTGTGTCTCCTGGGGTGTGAGGCAGTAGCCACAGCAGGAAAACAGGTTTTCATGCAACAGCCCCAGTCTGCAGGGTCACCCAGCTCTCAGCCAATGTCACTCCCCACTACCATGTCTTACTGCAGGCTTATATCTGACACCAACACCCATCATCTCATAATTGCGTGCTGCTCTGCAGGTCCCGAACTGTTGCCCCTAAGCTTTTTAAACTGACAGAGAAGGTATTTCACTCATTCGAGGCTCAGAGGGGCTGTGAAATGCACCTCGGAATGCGCCTGAAGATGTCCACATTGCTGGGACTGGAACCTGCTGGATCTTTTGGTCCCAAATCAGTGGGCAGGGAGGGAAGGAGTGAGGGCACAAGGGGCTGCCAGCTGTGGCTGGCGAAAGCAGCTGGGAGGAGCTCAGCAGAGTCACTCATGGGCTCCGGCCCAGGGCTCTGGAGGGTTCCACTGAGGCAGGGCCAGGCTCAGGCAGCAGTGTTGGCACCAGGAAGCTCTCCTTGCCTGCCCCCCTCCAGTCTCTGGGAGTTTGTTTTGGGCCATCGAGTGGGGGCAGTCAATTCCTGACCTCTGTCCGGAAGCTCAGGGCCATGCTGAGATGGTATTGACCATCTTAGATGTTACAAGCCAGAGATCCCGGTCTGTTCACAAGCAGGCCAGGCCTTGTGGGTCACCCTGGAGATGGGAATTGGCAACCTCTGAGCCCCCGTGAAGACCTGGACGTGTACAATGAGGTGGGTTGAGGTCCACGGCACTTTCCGTTATGCTGTTTTTTCTTCAATTTCTTTGAACACAGATCTTTTCTAGCCTGAAACTCAGAATCACAGCCTATAAGCAGAGGAGACTTAACTGGGTCAGCTGCCTCTCCATTCATTCATTCATTCATTCATTCATTGACTTGACAAATTTATAATGATCGTAACAGGTGCTATGGGATCCAGCCAGGCCTCAGACACACTCCTGATTCTCAGAAAGACTGTGGCCTGGGGGGGTTGGCAGTTAGGAAAGTTGTCACTCACAGCAGGGGTCCCCAGCCCCTGGGTCACAGAGCAGTACTGGTCCATGGCCTGTTAGGAGCTGAGCCACACAGCAGGAGGTGACCACTTCCTGTCAGATCAGCAGTGGCATCAAATGCTCATAGGAGCACAGACCCCATCGTGAACCGTATGCGAGGGATCTAGGTTGCACGCTCCTTATGATAATCTAATTAGTGCCCAGTGATCTGAGATGGAACAGTTTCGTCTCGAAACCATCCCTGCCCCACTGTGATCCATGGAAAAATTGTCTTCCACGAAACTGGTTCCTGGTACCAAAAAGGTTGGGGACTGCTGACTTACAGGACAGCATGGTAAGGACTATTACAGCTGTCCCTGGTGCCGTGTATGGGGGAAAGGGGTGAAAAGACACATTCCAGTTTGAGGAGGTGGGAACATTTAAGGGAAGTATCTTAGAAAACGCAGTACCTAATTTAAGACCTGCAGTATAAGCCGTGGAATGAGCTGGGCATGGCGGGAAGGAAGGAGAGTTCAGGTGGAGGCTCAGCACGTGGGCTAGCCAGCAGGCATGAAAGACCTTGGGGTCAGGAACGAGAGCCACTGCAGAACTAGAGCAGCCTCCCCAGGGCTGGGCAGTGCTGGGATTGTGCCAGCAAGGCTGCGAGCACAGCCGAAGCCTGACCAGCCAGGTTTACTTCCTAGGCCAGCCCTTGGAGCTAAGCAGGCTGAGAGGGGCAGCACCTTACCATGTTCTCAGAGGTCTGACTCCTGAGCTTGTAACCTTGTAAGTGGTGCGGCTGCAATTCTGCAGATGGTGGGGGAGTGGAGGACTTGCTGAAGGGTGCTGAGCCAGCGGGACGCATGATGGATGTGCAGGCAGAAGGCTCACGCAGGTGCCCAAGTGGGGTGGGACTGCATGTTGGGGCCAGTCAGGAGGCTGCTGCTAGGACTATGCCGGTGAGAAAAAACAGCAGCCTGCCACGGGTCATGGTGGTGGAGATGAAGAGGGGCCCAGCAGGCAAATGGACTTGATGGAGGGTGGGGAAGGACATGCAACTATTCTTGGTGACTGATTGCATATTGGGGAGTGAGGGCCCAGTGCCCCGCCTGCTCTCTGGGACCTTGGTAACAGTGCGGTGGCTCTTTTGTCCCAGCATCTTCCTGTACTGTGTGGTGTGTATGCCTCTGCAAAAAGGTTTAAGGAAGATGCTACAGAAGGGGCTGGGTGGGTCCCAGATCAGGGGCCTCCAAGCGGGGCTGTGCTTGGGTGTAACCTGGCTCTGCGGTTAGGTACCATGTTTGTCCATCATCCAGGACACATTCCCAGGGACCAGACTCATGAAAATGAAGATTGAATTCAAATTTCCGATTTCCTATTTTACTGTGAAGGATAAAATATTGGCTCTCCAAAGACTAATGTCATCTCCTGGTCAGGCTAGCTCTGTTTCTGTCATTAGCAAGATTTGGGGAGATTACCTTAGTCCTGGGGCATTGTGCAGTGAGCGTGAGTGGTCAGGACCTGAAGCTGGGTAGCCAAGGCTCTGTCCATACCTGCCGTGTCTCCGGGCTGGGGTGCTGCTGGTGCAGCAGATGAGGCACATGTGAGAGCAGGGCTGCTGCTCCTGAGAGGCTGCCTTTCCTGGGCCCCAGGCAGACCCCTGCTGCACACCTGTTCTCTCTGCCCATGGTGATTATTATTTTGTGTGTCTGACAGAGTCTCACTCTGTTGCCCAGGCCAGAGTGCAGTGGTGCAGTCTCGGTTCACTGCGACCTCTGTCTCCCGGGTTCAAGTGACTCTCCTGCCTCAGCTTCCCAAGTAACTAGGACTACAGGCGTGTGCTACCACGCCTGGCTAATTTTTATATTTTTAATAGAGACGGGGTTTCGCCATGTTGGCGAGGCTGGTCTCGAACGCCTAACCGCAAATGATCCACCCACCTCAGCCTCCCAGAATGCTGGGATTACAGGTGTGAGCGACTGTGCCTGGCCTGCACAAGGTGATTCTTTTCTCAGATCACCTTCCTTAAACTTGAGTGTTTCCAGATCTCCTCAGCACCATTTGTGCTTTTCCCTGGATTCCTGCTAGTGGCTGTTTTTGTTTATTGGGTGCCAGCTCTTTCTAGTTTCAGTCTCAGCAGAGAATTCTGTTTCCAACTTCTGGAGCTGCCTTATGTTATTTGGACACAAGACAGCCGTAAATTCTGCTGACCAGGGTGTGCATGTGTGGGCAATGTGTATTTTATCATTTTAGTTTTATTTCAGAGAACACCTTAGCTTCCAGGAGAGTTACATGTGCAACATCTCGGAGAGTGCTGAGCTCAGGTTCCTGGCCATTCAGGTAGCTCAAGCAGCAGGCACCTGAAAGCACTCCGAGGAATGGCCAAGCCCTCATCGCACAGCCAGAGCTGGTCACAGTGCTGCTCTGCACACCAGCCTCTAGTCATAAAAATAAGGAACACACTAAGAATCACACCCCTGTGATCCCACATCAGATGTCTCCTCCCATCCTGAGTTATTAATAATTTTATTAAGAATATGCTTTCAACACGCTTGTATTTATATATGTACTTAACAAGAAATCACCAAGACTGCAGCGGGCAGTTCCTCTTCCCTTTCCTTTTCATTGCCCAGAGAAAGGGAGAAAAAAAAACAACACTGCATTTGACTTGTCACTTGGAGGCTTAATTCCCTTCTTACATGCAGCAGTGGGGTCTCCTTCCGCCCTCAGGCACAGCTTGCTTTGAGACTTGCAGTATCACAATTAGTGTTCTCTTGCAGCTTGGACTTAACCAGCTTAAATTACCATCTGACTGAAGGGTGCGAGTGCTGGGTCTGCATGTGTTTCTTTCCATCAGGGGAAAGATTTGCCAGTGCATGTTTGAACATCTGCAAGTTTGGGTTTATTTTGGCTCCAAATCTGTATGCAAACTGTTGGTCATAAAGAGTTAGAAGTTCACAGCGAACCTTCCTGAAGCTTCTAGTTCAGTTTTTAGAGCTTGATGTTGGAAGAGATCTATTTCAGCAGGTGCCTGAAAGTATAGGGAGTTCAATATTCTAATTGCGTGTAGTGGCAGCTATTGGTTTAGAGGTAGGTTTAGCAGAAAAGACATTTTGGATGGGGTCATTTCTGTGCATGTCCTGTGTACACAGGCCTGATTTTAAAAGCTATATAGGCCGGGTGGGGTGGCTCACGCCTGTCATCCCAGCAATTTGGGAGGCCGAGGTAGGTGGATCACTTGAGGTCAGGAGTTCAAGACCAGCCTGGCCATCATGGTGAAACCCTGTCTCTACTAAAAATACAAAAAATTAGCTGGGCGTGGTGGCAGGTGCCTGTAATCCCAGCTACTTGGGAAGCTGAGGCAGGAGAATCGCTTAAACCCAGGAAGTGGAGGTTGCAGTGAGCAGAGATCACACCATTGCACTCCAGCCTCCGCAATAAGAGTGAAACTCCGTCTGGAAAACAAACAAACAAAAACCTAGATGATGGGGGTGAGGTTAGGGGGATGCTTTTTGGGTTAATAATTCCTTCAAGGAATAATGTTTGGAGGACAGGGCTTGGAAAAGTGCTAATCCCAGCAAGAGCCGCCTTCCCAGCTTGGCCCGAGGAGCCACATCACCACGCAGCAGCCCCCACGATGCACAGTAGTGGTAGGAAGCTTGGCCCCTCTCTCCCCGCAGAGGCACGTCGTCCATTGTTCTGCCCTGGGCCTCGGGCACCCACCCCCAGAAGCGGCCCCATCAGCACAGACAGGAAGTGCACCTTGCTGGTGAGCAGGTCTGCTGCTTGTCAGTCAGCGCTGGGTTTCCCCAGACACTGATGGGCAGCCTTTTTGGAAAATAAGAATCAGAAGACTCCAACACGTGCACCCAAGAAATGTCACCTTCTGCTTTACAAAGGGTGTACCCTTCATGGCAACAGGCCCAGCCGCACAGAGCTTCCTCAGAGCCAGTGTCCTGGGAGAGGCCTGTCATGTGCCAGGGTCAGCTGCTGGGATTCTCCTGGGTTTTGTGTTAAGCTGGGCCAATGTGGTGACACGGGGAACGCCAGGAAGGTGTGAGAGGAGAGGAACCGACTCTTGGCTGTTACAGCGGCTGTTTGCAGGTTCAGGTGTGGCCGAGAGGGGTGCAGAAGGGTGGGCTGCCATCATTTCATGCCTGGAAAGTCACTTCCACAGCAAGAGGCCCGCTCCATGCCTTGCCAGGCCCTCCCGTCACCGTGACCCTCCGGCTCCCAGGACCACCAGGAGCACAGGTTGGGGCAGAGGTGGTATCAGCAGATGAGAGTCTTGAAGTGGCTGGGGCCAGGCGGGCCTGGCTGAGGTTCAGTTGGGTCCTGATTCTCTGGAATACCTTGGGGAAGTCCCCGAGGAGGCAACACACTCATGTGGGGAACTTTTCCCCTCCACTGCCATGAAAAAAACTCCCTAGAAGGGATGAGGGGTGCAGACAGCACCCTGGCTGGTGGCATTTGATGTGTCTGGGAAGGCCCCTTCTATCCCCAAAGACCTCCCATTAGATGGCAGGGTGGTCAACCTGAGCACGGCCAACAGCCATTGGGCGCTGATGCATGGCGAGAACTGGCAGAGGACCTTTTCTTTTGAAATCACGTCCTCACCACCATCTTGTGAGATAGGTTTTACTATGATCCTCGCTTTCAGATGAAGACACTGAACTCTAGTCTGACAGCCAGGAGGCAGCCAGGTCAGGACTGGAATGCAAGCAGCCTGACCCCAGTCACAGGCAAGGTGCGCCTACAGTCACCCCAGTGCCTTTGAGGGGGAATCACGAGAGGAGGGTGAAACCCACGCAGTGCCAGCAATCACGTGCCACTGTGTTGAAGTTCTTCCCTGAGGATGGGCGTGCATTCGATTAGAGGCCTTGTAGAGTGTGGGAAGGTAGGGAGTGGCAGAGATTCACTTCTTGCTTCTTGCAACCAAAGGGTTGCAGCAGGACAACCACGCACGCCTCTGCCCGGACCTTTCTGCCTTAGCCTGCAGTAACTGGCTGGGCACTGGGTGTCCTGGGCCCTGGGTTGCCCCCCGCAGGAATATAGAGTTGCCTGTGTGTGCAGTGGTGGGTGCTTTCTGTTCTCGATGCTCCATCTCTGTGAAAGATGAGCTCTGCATGTCCCACAAGGTATCTTCAGAAGCACAGAGATTTGCTGTGCTTGTCCAAGAAAGCACCCTATGTGTTCAGAGTGGCCGAGACGGGACCTCTCCCACAGCCTGGCACCAGGTCCTGGCAGGAAGCAGCCCAGTCTGAAGAACTCAGACAAAGAGAGGCTCATCAAGACCAGGCAAGAGAAGCAGCAGTGGGTGTCAGAGCAACCAGACTGGCAGGAGCTCCCTCCAACCCCTGAGGCTGAGGGGCAGGGCTGGGCAATGGTAGCACCTGAGCCCATTAGGACCTGGACCCTGGAGGGAGCCGGCAGGCCCTGGGCAAGGCAGGCTTTAAGAAGTGCAGCGAGGAAGAGTCTGTGTGGGGTGGCCTGGGTGGTGGGCACGGAGCCGGGTGGTTGCCTTTCACACAGGCAGCCCTGGCCCTCAGCCATGGGTGGGGCTGGCACCTCAGTGATTGGATGGAGGAAGTGCTACCAGCTTCTGAGAAGCATCTGAGTGTCAACAAGCTGACACTAAAAGGGGGTCTGAGTGGGGAGTCTCTGCTCTCCTACACAATGTGCTCCAGAAATGTGCTATTCGGAGCTTTGCCTGTGACCCCCTGCTTCGGAAGCATTCCTGCCCATGTGCCCCACTGATCTCTGCTTTTCCTGGCAGCCTGTCTGGAGAACCGACCCCTCCCAGGGAAGGTCATCTGTGTTATGGGCGTGGGAGCATCTGCTATGAACTGTGTCCTCGTAAGAGACCCCCATGAAGAGGGGGTGGCCTCATCTGCGGCCCCATTGGCCGCTGTGCCCACAGCCCACAGTGAGAGCAAGGTTGGCACCACACAGATTGCCATGAGGGAAAGGAATATTTAATCTGGGCAGCCTCTGTTCGGAGGAGGTGGGGAGAGAAGGCAGTCACTCTGGAATATTCCATGAACAGAGTGGAGCCTCGAAGCCTGGAGCGCAGGCAGGGAGGTGCACCGGGCGGAGAGGCCCACAGGGGCTGCTCGGTGGGGGGGGGTACCCTGGGCGAGGAGGGGGGTCTGGGAAGAGGGGTGAGGGCACCGGGGCATGAATGGCCTGCAGGTAAAGGCCCAGAACTGGCATGGCCTTGGCATCACACTTGCAAACGCTGAGGACCTATCCTGGGGAGACCAGAGACTAGAAGGCAAGAAGGGCTGGTTTCCAGGTGCCTGCCCAGGAAGCTCCTGTGCTGTGGGCTGTGGGCGGCTGTGGAAGGCCCTGGGGCTTGATTTAGGCCTGGGGATGCTGGGCTGGCGGCTGCGAGGGAAGAGCAGTCAGGAGCAGGAACCACTGCCTGGACTGGACGCCTCAGGGACCTCTCCATGGAAGAATTGAACAAATGAGGTGACAATGTGGGGGCCATCGCCATCATCTCCTTGTGACTGGCTGCGGTGGCTTGGGTTCTCCAGAAGCAGAAGCAGCATTAGGGGTGCAGACGGCACACTGGGGGGTTTACACCTGTGACAAGAGGAGGAGGCCGCTGGGTCCTCCAACTACAGCTCGGTCCCACCTCCTCTCCACCAGCCCCATGGGCGCTGCCAGCAGGGACTGCCCTTCTGAGGAGCCAGGGTTGGGGAAGGGTGCAGAGATGCCCGGCCCTGTGCCCCAACCTCACCTGGGTGTGACCAGAGTAGCACGTACCTCCAGAAGAGGCTGGAGCTCAGGGGCACCCACCATGCTCCCAAACTACCTCTACAAAAACGAACAAAAAACTGCAGTGCACCTCTGTTGAGCGATATGATCTGATTGAAATATTTGTCACGCAGCACGCCCTCTTTCTGTGCCAAGAATCGCCACGTGCATGTCCCTTTTTTACTGTAATATTTATTTTATTTTCTTGGTTTTTTTTAACTGGTATGATAAATATAAAATTCAATAAAAGAAAAGCTTTACTGCATGCGTTTTTTCTATCCCTTATTTTATCCCATGGTTATTAATGATTGTCATATAGAAGGGTGTCATTAATCGGATTTCCCTGACACCTGACACACTTGCCAACTGGTTCCATTTCATTTTTTCTACAGAAACAGAAGTGAAAAGGTCTTGAAAATTATCTGACTTTTCACAGCTTCTTTCATTCTTTCTAGTCCTTTCTTCAAAGATAACTGAAGGTGACTGGTGATTGTTGAGGACTCTGGATGAGAAAGCTGCTTTGTTTTTCCTGAGTGTGTTCTGTGGGTATCCCTCCCGCTAAGAGACTCAGCGTAGGAAAGTCTGCGTCTCACAGGAGGCCGATAGAGGCGGAAGCTTCCCTGTTTCTCTTTGTCAAAGAAACCCCTTTAGGGTGTCTTTAAATTACCATTTCCCCAAGTGCATTTCAGAGTCAGATTTATAATAACATAATAATTTATGTAGATACAGCTTGTTAAGACTACTTCTACTGCCAAAAAAAAATTAAAAAATCACAGAACACCTCTATTTGATTATGTGATCTAATTTAAATATTTGTGAATGTTTGATGAGGCCCAGTCATGCAAATGCCTCTTACTGTACTGAGAATCACCATGTACAGTTTCTCTAAGGTGGGGCTCCCGCCTTCCTGCCAGGAGACCTTAAGCTTCTTGAGAGCAGGGCCTGGGGCTTTTCTGCCACTTAGAAGGGACTGGTACGCAGTAGGTGCTGGGTCACCTTCCACGCGGACCCTCGGACCCTTGTCAAATCACTGGGCATGTCTCTGCTCCTCCCTCCCTTTGCCTGTTGTCAGAGCCTCACTGTGGCCTTGCTTGTTTCAGGAAGTTGCTGCACCCCGCGAGCCAGCAAGGACAGCTGCGGGGGCCCCAGCTCATCCCTCAGAGCTGCGGATACAAAGTCTGTGTATCCTTCACAGAAAGAGCGCAGTCTTGGAGCTGCGTGTGCACCTCGCTGTTACTAGCATGCTGGCCGAGTGCCTGGCTGAGCGGTCTGCCTGGGAGCAAAACTCCTGCTCCCCGAGTCCTCACTCACCCCACCTTTAGAAATACGCTCAGCCCTTCCTTGCCCTTCGCATGCTGTGGAATAGGCAGGGCCAGCTTTAGTCCACCTGGAGCTTCGTAAGCTTCTCCGTGTGTTGACATCATTTGTTTCTGGGACTTTCTGTTAAAAAGAAAGTTTTAGGAATTGAGTGTTAGCCTCTTAAGCTTTCTTTTTTGCTTCCTTAAGCTTAAAAAAATCATCCTGTCACGTTCATTCCCTTTTTCTGCATTGAAATCAGATCATCAAAATTACTGTTGGCCCCACTGTGCCTCCAGCTGTGTGCGTACCCCCACCCAGCTGATGCCACGTACCCACCTGAGAGGGTGGGGGCTGCACTTGGAGGCGAGGGAAGCCTGGTGTCAAGCTCATTTGTCTCCACCTGCGTGAACTGCTCCTGCAGCTCCAGCCTCTAGCTTCGTCCACCTTCTGGTTTGGGTTTTTAAACTATTGTCTCTTTCTGAGCCTATCATTGACCTGATTCTTGTCACCTTTCACTCAGATCCATGCACTTACTATCTGATAGCCTTGTTCTATTTCCTAGATTTTTTCTTCCACTGCCTTTCTCTCAATGTACGCTCATTTCTTGGAAGAGTTTGATGTTGACTGTTTGCTGTGAAACTAGCTCTGAACAAAGTTCACTGTGGCAATTGAAACAGTTGTTTAAAGCAACTTTTCTTTGAAAGATGCACAGCTTCTGATACCGGCCTCCCGCACTGCTATAAAATGCCCAGGTTAACACTGAACAACGTGAGCCACTGGACTGACCACCACGTCCCCGCTGCGGACTCCCGGCCTAGACTTCACAGTGCCTTTGTGAACGCTTCAGGGCCACACGTGGCATTCAGGTTTCCAAATCTGTTTTAGTTTGCAACATCTTTTATGTAGTTTCTTAGGGAAAAAAAAAAAGATTCTCTAGATTTTCTGTCCAATAGTTTCTTTCTGAGATTACAAAAAAAAAAATGTATTGTTCCTTCATCTATGTCAGAATCCAGAAAACTACTTTTATTTGGCCAATTCTAGAACGCTTTCAAAATGTTTTCCGCTACAGAGCACTTTCACAAAAATTAACTCTTTTTCGCAACAAACCTATAAAATAACTAGCGCACATTTAGCTCTGAGCAGCGGAGGCTCATCTAGCACTGCGGCCTGACTCTGGGTCCAAGGCTCTTTGCCCTAGACCGCATTGGAACCCAGGGTCAAGGAGCTCTTCAAGTAAGCAAAACAAAGTCCTTTCAGAATAACTTAGAAGCAAAGGTCGAGATAGCCTAAGCAGATGACATAATTAATTTGAAATGGATTTGTTTATAAGTTAATAAAAAAAGACGACAAGTGGAGGGGACCACAGTTACCTAATCCACAAGACAGTGTTGTCACCACACAATACAGTCATGCAGGAAAATGGTTTTCCGTGAGGGTGTGCCTTGAGGCTATAGGACTTGGAAGTCATCTTTGAGGCTCGTAGTAGGCATGAACTGGCGGTGTGTGGGATCCCACTGAGGAAGTCTGGACACACAGCTGGGCGCCATCTTGATGAGATGGCAGTGAGTAGACATGGATTTGTCCAGGAGAGACATTGCGGAAGAGGCAAAGACAATTCCAAAGTCTCCCAAATTCTTGGAAGATTCAAGAAAGACAAAGCTACCAAAAAGAAACAAGAGGCCCCCAGAAGCTTCCTGGGAGGGCAGATGAGGCTAGTGGCCCAAGCACTGAGCAAGCAGGGAGGAGGAAATTTGACCTGGGTGACTGCCTGGGAG